>NC_000017.11:2157777-2309292 GCF_000001405.40 Homo sapiens
TACAAAGTCTGCAAAATTCTAGTACTAAGCAATCAGGGAATGCTGGCTGATTTGTAACCTGTATTTCAAATGCTTAGAACCAGCTGGGTATTGCAATGGCGACAAGAAGCTGAATTAGAAATCCCTAAACCATCAGCAAGCTCTCCTCCCACCACCAGTAGAACCTGGCCCAGGTGCATTTCTAACCAAAGTCACAGGAGTGGGACACATAAATGTTTGAGTAATTCCTTAAAAGAAAAGAAACCACAAGTAAGAATTTAAGGGAGTAATAAAAAGGGGTGAACATTGAAAAGAAGGGAAGAAGTTAATTTTTTAAATGGCATGTGAGAAATAAAAAGGAAATCCCCTGTTCAGGCAGCTCTGGAGTTCCCTAATTGCACAAGAGCAAAGGACACCCCCACGGAACATGTATGCCTTCTGAAGCCATTGCTCAACCTACACTCATTGTGCAATTTCAATCTTCCAAAGTTTTTTGCTGCACATATGCAAACCACGTTTTCCTCTGCATTCTAGAATTAAGAACAGTTTATCATTATTCTCTTCACTTTAGAGAGGGGTGTATGCATGAGCCAAAAAAGAAAAAAAAAAGTATTGCTAGATAAGCATTCACTACAAATGAGGTTTTATATTATTTCATCTGGTTATTTCTGAGTTTACTGGTAGTTAAGAAACACTTGAATTCACTCTTAGGCAGCTAAAGATTCATTTTTCCTGTCACTGACAATAATGATATCACAAAAAATAGCCCACGAAAACATCAAACCTTCAAAAGCCTTTGTCCTAAATGATGGCAATTCTAGAGTATTTGAAACAGTTAAAAGTGGAAGTCCCTACTGTGTAGTCAAAATTCCACCGGAAGGCTAAGCGCCGTGGCTCATGCCTATAATCCCAGCACTTTGGGAGGCTAAGGCAGGTAGATCGCTGGAGATCAGGAGTTGAGACCAGCCTGGGCAACATGGCGAAACCATGGCTCTACGAAAATTACAAAAATTAGACAGGTGTGGTGGCGTGCACCCATAGTCCCAGCTACTGGGGAGGCTAAGGTGGGAGGATCCCTTGGGAAACAGAGCAAGACCCTGTTTCAAAAAAAAAAAAAAAAAGTTTGCTGTTCAAGACTATGTTTAAAAAAAAAAAAAAAAGGCAAACCAGTCACAGACCACGAGAAATATTCACAGGATGTATATCTGACAAGTATTTGTGTCAAGAATATTTGAAGAACTCTTATAACTCAATAAGAAAACACCCCAATGTTTAAAAATGGCCAACAGATTAGAACATTTCCCAAATGAGGATATAATAATTGTCAGTAAACTCATAAAAAGATGCTCATCATTATTCAGGAAAATGACTATTAAAACTATGGCCAGGCACAGTGGCTCACGCCTGTAATCTCAGCACTTTGGGAGGCCGAGGCGGGTGGATCATTTGAGGTCAGAAGTTCGAGACCAGTCTGGCCAACATGGTGAAACCCTGTCTCTGCTAAAAATATGTAAAAAAATTAGGTGGGTGTGTGGTGGCATGCTACAGCTGTAATCCCAGCTACTTGAGAGGCTGAGGTAGGAGAATTGCTTTAACCCAGGAGACGGAGGCTGCAGTGAGCTGAGATCACGCCACTACACTCCAGTGTGGGTGACAGCGAGACTCTGTCTCAAACAAACAAACAAAAAAACCCTCCAAAAACATAAAACCAAAATGAGATACTACTTCACACTTACTAGCATGTCTAAAACTATAAAGATCAGAAATACCAAGTGTTGGCAAGAATATGAGCAACTAGAACGCTCACATATTGCTAGTGGGAGTATAAAAGGGTGTAATCACTTCAAAAAAGTTTGGAAGCTTCTTTTAAAGTTAGATATATACTTAAATGACTAAGCAATTCTACTCCTGGATATTTATCCAAGAGAAATGAAAATATATGACCACAAAAAAACCTGTACATTAATGTTCACAGTATCTTTTTCATAACCCCTCCAAAATAAAAACAGCCAAAATATCTATCAACAAGTGAATGGATAAACTGTGATATATCCATACAATGGAATACTACTCATCAATAAACGACTGAAAAAATATAATGCCCAATATGGATGAATCTCAGACGTTATGCTGAGTGACAAAACAAAGACATAAGAGTATATACTATATGATTCCATGTATATGAAATTTTATAACAGGCAAATCTAATCTATAGTGAGAATAATTAGATCAGTAGCTGCCTGGGGCAGGGAGTAGGATGGGGGATAGAGGCACTTGGGAACATTTTGTGGAGAAGGAAATATTCTATACCTTGATTGAAGTGGTCCTTATGCAGAATATATAAATATTCTGTATCTTGATACGGGTATATATACACCCATACATTCAAATGTATACCTTTCATTGTATGTAAATATATATTAGTAAGTTGATTAATGAAGTAAAGGTATTAACTATAAATTTATTTTTAATTAATTTTTTTGAGACAGATCTCACTCTATTGCCCAGGCTGGAGTGCAGTGGTGCAATCTCAGCTCACTGCAGCCTCCGCCTCCTGGGTTCAAGTGATTCTTGTGCCTCAGCCTCCCAAGTAGCTGGGATTACAGGGTGCACAACCAAACCTGGTTAATTTTTGTATTTTTAGTAGAGACAGGGTTTCACCATACTGCCCAGGCTAGTCTCGAACCCCTGACCTCTGGTGAACCGCCTGCCTCGGCCTCCCAAAGTGCTGGGATTACAGGCATGAGCCACCGCGCCTGGCCTTCAATTGTTTTGAATATCTAAAATTATGGGCTGGGTACAGTGGCTCATGCCTGTAATTCCAGCACTTTAGGATGCCAAGGCAGGAGGATCACCTAAACCTAGGAGTTCAAGGCCAGCCCAGGCAACATAGTGGGACCCCGTTTCCACAAAAAATTTAAAAATTAGCCAGGTGTGATGGCGTGCGCCTATAGTCCCCAGCTACTCAAGGGACTGAGGTGGGAGGATTGCTTGAGCCTGGGAAGTCAAGGCTGCAGTGAGCCATGATTGTATCACTGCCCTCCACCCTGGACAACAGGGCAAGACCCTGTCTCAAAAAAATAAATAAAATAAAAGTAAATATAATTATGAAGTAAAAATATATATTCTTTTACATATATGATATTATATTAGTAAAGAAAACTAAAAAGGGTGAGACAAAAAGTACCAGGGCAGAAGTTTAAATCAAAGTTTCTTTTTCTATCATACATTCTCCTCTTAACCAATTTTAATTTTATATTTATTAAGTCTTGAGACAAAGGTTGTATGTATGTATGTAGGTAGGTAGGTAGGAAGGCTAGGCAGGTAGGCATGCTCACATAACTGACCCTTTTTTTTTTTTTTTTTTAGAGATGGAGTTTTGCTCTGGTTGCCCAGGCTGGAGTGCAGGGGCGCGATCTTGGCTCACTGCAACCTCTGCCTCCTGGGTTCAAGCAATTCTGCCTCAGCCTCCCGAGTAGCTGGGATTACAGGCGTGCATCACCAAGCCTGGCTAATTTTGTACTTTTAGTAGAGATGGGGTTTCATCATGTTGGCCAGACTGTTCTCAAACTCCCGACCTCAGGTTGATCAGCCTGCCTCGGCCTCTCAAAGTGCTAGGATTACAGGCATGAGCCACCAATCCCGGCCTTTATTTATTTATTTTTTTTTTTGAGACAGAGTCTCACACACTGTCACCCGGGCTGGAGTGCAATGGTGCGACCTCGGCTCACTAATCTTCAGGTTTTCATATACCAGTCATCATCATTAATTACTGTTCATCTATAAGCAATCTTGCCTCCAAAGTTTGGAGTCCAGGACATTGTCCTGATCTTCTGGTCCTCAGACATTGCACTGCCACTACTCTTATATTTTTGCCCTTGAACACACCTCCTAAATGATGTAGATAAGACTACATACATTTAGTACCACTCAGAGCACTCTCAAGTCTCAAGGATTTGTCTAAAAAAAAAAAAAATCAAATTCTCTCTTCAAAGACTCAAATTCTAGACTTTGAGGTGCTTTTGAATCCAGGGCATTCCAAGATTTGAAGAACATTCAATCCAGAGGGAAAGATGCTGATAAATTCAGTCTGAGCATTCTATTCCACTCATATGAACCTTTCCTTCTTTGTTTATCCTCGGGAACTATTCTGAGTCCCTTTAAATATCTATGAAATGATAGAGAGGGAGGTCTAAGAAGGAGAAACTATCTCAAAGGGTAAGAACAAAAGACTTATGTGTAAGGCTCCCTGAGATGGCATCGTTTATACAACAGATAAAAGTCAATAACTTCCTATAAAACATCTAATGATTGAGGACTAAACAAATATTATAATATATTCATACAATATTGTGCAGCTCTTAAATTCATGTTATAGGTAAACATGGAAATATATATTTATTGCTAAGTGAACAAAGTACATTACAAAACAAAACATAAAGTTTGATTCTATTTCTGTTAAAAAGCAAAAATTGGCCAGGCGAGGTGGCTCACGCCTGTAATCCCAGCACTTTGGGAGGCCGAGGCGGCCAGATCACGAGGTCAGGAGATCGAGACCATCCTGGCTAACATGGTGAAACCCCGTCTCTACTAAAAATATAAAAAAAATTAGCCAGGCGTGGTGGTGGGCGCCTATAGTCCCAGCTACTCGGGAGGCTGAGGCAGGAGAATGGTGTGAACCCAGGAGGTGGAGCTTGCAATAAGCCCAGATTGCACCACTGCACTCCAGCCTGGGCGACAGAGTGAGACTCCCCATCTCAGAAAAAAAAAAAAAAAAAAAAAAAAAATCAGTGCTGGACATGGTGGTTTGTACCTGCAATCCCAGCTATTCAGGAAGCTGAGGCGGGAATACTGCTTGAAGCCAGGAGTTCAAGACCAGCCTGAGGAACACAGCTGAGATCCTGTCTCTAATAAATAAACAAATAACCAAAAAACTTCACTTATATCCAGTCATCCATCTACCTATCAGCCATCCTTCTAGGTTGGAACATATGCAGCAACATGGAACAAGAAACAGTAGTTATCTCTGGGTAGTGGATCAAGAAAATCTTTTCTTTTCCGTATTGCTAATCTTGATTTTCCTCTCTTTTTTTGAGAAAGGGTCTCCCTCTGTGGCCCAGGCTGGAGTGCAGTGGTGCAATCTAGGCTGAGTACAACCTCTGCCTCCTTGGTTCAAGTGATCCTCCCACCTCAGCCTCTCAAGTAGCTGGGACTACAGATGCACACCACCACACCTGACTGATTTTTTAATTTTTTATAGAGACAAGGTCTCATTATATTGCCCAGGCTGGTCTTGAACTCCTGGGCTCAAGCGATCCTCCTGCCTCAGCCTCCTGAAGTACTGGCGTTACAGGTGTGAGCCAACATGCCTGGCTGCTAATCTTAATTTGTAAAGTATTTCTAAATGAACATTTATTTTGTAATACAAAGATTATTTTATTTATTTTTTAGACAGGGTCTTGCTCTGTCACTCAGGCTGGAATGCAGTGGTATGATCACAGCTCACTACAGCCTCGACCTCCTGGGCTCAAGTGATTCACCCACCTCAACCTCTCAAGTAGCTAGGACCACAGACGGAGGCCACCAAGCCCAGCTGATTTTTTAAATTTTTAGTAGAGATGCTGTGTTTCCCAGGCTGGTCTCGAACTCCTGGGCTCAGGTGATCCTCCCACCTTGGCCTCCCAAAGTGCTGTGATTAGAGGTGCGAGCCACTGTGCCAGGCACCAAATCTTCATTTTGTTTGATTCTAATATGTAGATATGGGATTGATTTTTGTACAATGGCTTCATATCCAGCAACTTTGCTACATTTACTTATTATGAGAATAATTCTAATAATTTATGCTTTTTGGGGATTTTCTAAATGTATCATGTTATTATCTACAAATAAAAACAGCTTTATTTTTTCCCTTCCAACAGTCTTATTAATACTTCATTTTTTTTTTTTTCACGTCTTACTGTACTGACTAGGACCAACACAGACTGAATGGAACTGGTAACTCACCGCCCTTATCTTATTCTGTTTCTTGAGCTGCTTGCTTGGTGGTTATGTAGTTGTTTATTCTCTAAGGCTGAGGGCAGCAGATCACTTGAGGTCAGGAGTTCGCGACCAGCCTGGGCAACAGGGTGAAACCTCATCTCCACTAAAAATACAAAAATTAGCCGGTGTGGTGGCAGGTGCTTGTAGTCCCAGCTACTCAAGAGGCTGAGGCAGGAGAATCGCTTGAACCAAGAAGACGGAGGTTGCAGTGGGTCTAGATCACGTTACTGCACTCCAGCCTGGGCGACAGAGAAAAACTCTGTCTCAGAAAACAAGGACGACAATGACAGGGTGAAACCCTATTGTACTAAAAGTACAAAAATATAAAAACTTAGCCAGAGAGGGGCACAGTGGCTCACACCTGTAATCCCAGCACTTTGGGAGGCTGAGGTGGAGGCGGGCAAATCACTTGAGGTCAGGAGTTTGAGACCAGCTTGGCCAACATGGTGAAACCCCATCTCTACTAAAAATACAAAAATTAGCCGGGCATGGTGGCAGGTGCTTGTAGTCCCAGCTACTCAAGAGGCTGAGGCAGGAGAATCGCTTAAACCCGGGAGACAGAGGTTGCAGTGAGCCAAGATCATGCTACTGCACTCCAGCCTGGGCAATAGAGCAAAACGCTGTCTCAGAAAACAACAATGACAATGCAAACAACAACAAAACTTAGCCGGGCGTGGTGGCATGCACTTGTAATCCCAGCTACTAGGGAGACTGAGGCAGGATCATCACTTGAACCCAGGAGGTGGAGGTTGCAGCGTGCCGAGATCGCGCCACTGCACTCCAGCCTGAGTGACAGAGTAAGAGAGTGAGACTCCCCGTCTCAAAGAAAAAACAAAAACAAACAAATAAAAAAACAACCAGCCGGGAACGGTGGCTCATGCCTGTAATCCCAGCACTTTGGGAGGCTGAGGCAGGTGGATCACCTGAGGTCAGGCGTTTGAGACCAGCCTGGCTAACATGGCAAAACCCCATCTCTACTAAAAACACAAAAATTAGCCAGGCGTGGTGACGCGTGCCTGTAGTCCCAGCTACTCCGGAGGCTGAGGCAGGAGAATTACTTGAACCTGGGAGGCAGAGGTTACAGTGAGCCAAGACTAAACCACTGTACTCCAGCGTGGGCGACAGAGCGAGACTCCATCTCAAGGAAAAAAAAAAAAATCCTTGATGACATCTGCAAAGGTCTTTTTGTCACGTAAGGTAACATGTAACAGGTTTTAGAGATTGAAGACATAAACCTCTTTGGGGTGGGGGTGTTACTTTGCCTACCACAAAGGGTTACGACAGCTCATGAGGTAGACACAGACCACCACTTGGAAGCTTTCTCACTGCTACGAATCAGTACCATTCGCAATGCTTCAGCAGTTCAGAGAGGTCTAAGGCAAATTCCCATACTAAATGGAAAGTGGCCCAATGACAGAATTTCTTCTTCACATGGTAGCTCCAAGAAGGTGACAGGACACTGCAGTATCATTTATATGAAAGAGACTGAAAAAAAAAAAACTGAAAACTAGACATGAGCGATAGCTCTGATACAGCAGCTCCACTGTATACAGAACAGAAAATGTAGAAAATAAATTCATTTATTGACATTGCACACCACTTGGTCCCCTTCCCACTCCCTTGAGGTTAATGACTTGCTAATATAGCTTATTCTTTATCCAAAATGCCTGGGACCAGAAGTGTTTCAGATTTTGGAATATTTGCACTTTATCCTTACTGGTTGAGCATCCCTAATTGGAAAATCTGAAATCAAGCTTTGGATTTTAGAGTCTTTTGTATTTCAGATTTTTGGACTAGGGATATTCAATGTGTACAAACTCTATACTTGAGCAAGGGATTTCACCTATTATCTGTGGGTCACTCTGGGAGGCCAAGGCGGGAGGATCACTTGAGCTCAGGAGTTTGAGACCATCCTGGGCAACACAGGGAGGCCTTGCCTCTAATAAAAAAGTAAAAATAATTAGCCAGGTGAGGTGACGCTTGCCTGTAGTCCCAGCTACTCAGGAGGCTGAGGGGGGAGGATCGCTTTAACCCAGGAGGTCGAGACTGCAGTGAGCTATGATCACACCACTGCATTCCATTCTGGGTGACAGAGTGAGACACTGTCTCAAAAACACAAAGAAACAAACAAAATGGACGGGCGCGGTGACTCAGGCCTGCAATCCCAGCACTTAGGGAGGCCGAGGTGGGCGGATCACTTGATGTCAGGAGTCTGAGACCAGCCTGGCCGACATAGCAAAACCCCGTCTCTACTAAAAATACAAAAATTAACTGGGCGTGGTGGCAGGTGCCTGAAATCACAGCTACTCGGGAGGCTGAGGCAGGAGAATCACTTGAACTTGATAGGTGGAGGATGCAGTGAGCCGGGGGGTCACGCCACTGCACTCCAGCTTGGGAGACAGAGCCAGACTCCATCTCCAAAACAACAACAACAACAAAAAACTACTGTAGACAAAGAAGGTATCCAGTGAGAATCTACCTAATCTGTTCAAAGAAATGTAAGTGACCAGCATCAAATCGTAGAAACTAGAGCTGAGGTCTAAGAAAATAATCTGCAATATATTAATAAAAAGGAGAATGTAGCACGCAAATAGAGAAACAAATTATATTTTGGGGGAAAAAATGCCAAATGAAAAAGAAGGTACTATCTGCTATATTCTTTCAATTGAATTTATTTTTAAAGACAAGGTCTTGCTCTGTCCCTCGGGCTGGAGTATGGTGGCACAATCACAGCTCACTGCAGCCTAGACGGCCAGGGCTGAAGTAATTCTTCCACCTCAGCCACCTGATTAGCTGGAACTACAGGTGTAATACCATCAACCCTGGCTAATTTTTATGTTTTTTGTAGGGACAGGTTTTTGCCATGTTGCCCAAGCTGGTCTCAAACCCCTGGGCTCAAGTGATCTGTCTGCCTTGACTTCCTAAAGTGCTGGGATGACAGGCATGGGCCACTGCTCCTGACCTTCAACTGAATTCTTCAAATTATAGACTCTGTGAAGTATGCTAAATGAAAAATGAAAAAGCAAAGACAGATATAAGGGGACTGAGGCCAGGCACAGTGGCTCATGCCTGTAATCCTAGCACTCTGGGAGGCTGAGGCGGGCAGATCACCTTGAGGTCAGGAGTTCGAGACCAGCCTGGCCAATATGGCAAAACCCCGTCTCTACTAAAAATACAAAAAAATTAGCTACTTGTGGCAGCGCGTGCCCCTGTAATCCCAGCTACGCGGGGGGCTGAGGCAAGAGAATCGTTTGAACTTGGGAGGCAGAGGGGGTGCAGTGAGCCGAGATCACACCACTGCACTCCAGCCTGGGCGACAGAGTAGGACTCCATCTCAAAAAAAAAAAAAAAAAAAAAAAAAGATATAAAGGGACTGACTAAAAGGCAGGCAAAAAAAATAAAGGTTATAAGATATAATGTAAGAGAACAAATAATGCAATAGAAGACTTAAAACCTGAACTAGAAGTAGTAAAGAGTAGAATCAATGCTATAAAAATATATCAAGATGACAAACTTGAGAAACCTTCCTAGAATGCAGAAGAAAAGCAAAAACAGATTAAAGTGATGACAGAAAAAGTGACATATAGGACAAAGAATGGAGATCTAATGTATCAGGACAGCAGAAATTACTGAAGAAAAGAATAGAACAAAGAGAGTATTTGCACTCAAAGGCATATAAGGTGAAAACTTTTCTGCTTCAAAGATACAATGATTACGTTAATGCCAAATCAGTGCTCTTGAAGCACGCCTTCACCGGGGTATTACCAGCTCAACAAAACTCAAGAACTCTTCAAATTCACTTATGGTGCCACTCACATCTTTATATATGGCACAAACTGTCTCTCGAACTAGGAAGATACCTGCCTTATGTGTCTGGATCTCCCAGGCTGTGTTGGCAATACGTGTTTCGTAAGTATCTGCAGAATAAGCATCAAGGCAGGACCAAACATGAGACTAATCTCGACCAGCAATAAAGCTGCTCACGTTGCTGCCACTGATGAGCACTGGAGATATGTTTTACATTTCCTAGTAATGAACACTAGAAGCTGGAGGAAATGTTTATATTTTTCAAATTTCCTTTTTCTTTCTTTTTTTTCAGACGGGGTCTTGCTCTGAGACCCAGGCTGCAGTGCAGTGGCGCAATCATAATGAGCACCAAACCCCTGCACTTAAAAAGTTCTCCTGCCTCAGGCTCCTGAGTAGCTGGGACTACAGGCGCTTGCCACCACACCTGGCTGTTTTTAAACTTGTTTGTAGGGACAAGGCCTCACTATGTCACCCAGGCTGGTTTAGAGATCCTGGTCTCAAGTGCTCCTCCCACTTTGGCCTTCCAGAATATTGGGATTACTGGTGTGAGCCACCATGCCTGGCCCTTTTGCAGGTTTTTTTTAAAAAAATTTTATTTATTTATTTTTTGAGACAGAGTCTCACTCTGTCACCCAGGCTGGAGTACAGTGGCACAATTTCAGCTCACTGCAACTCCACCTCCCAGGCTCAAGCAATTCTCATGCCTCAGCCTCCCGAGTAGCTGGGATTACAGGTGCCTACCACCATGCCTGGCTAATTTAGTAGAGACGGGATTTCACTATGTTGGCCAAGCTGGTCTCGAACTCCTAGCCTCAAGTGATCCACCCGCCTCAGCCTCCCAGAGTGTTGGGATTACAGGCGTGAGCCATCACGCTAGGTCTGCTTTTGCAGATTTCTAAAAGGTCAAGAGTTCCTAAAGATTCAACTCCTAGGTTGGCCATGGAAATGACCCATGTGAGCTTATCATCATTCTTTTCTCTTGAGCCTCAGTATCCTCTTTTACAAAATTTGAAGGGTGTGGCTCACACCTATAATCCCAGCACTTTAGGAGGCCGAGGCAGGAGGATCACTTGAGCCTAGCCTGGGCAAGATGGTGAGACCCCGTCTCTATTAAAAAACAACAAAAAAAGTTTTTTTTGTTTTGTGTTGTTTTGTTTTGTTTTTGAGACGGAGTCTTGCTCTGTCACCCAGGCTAGAGTGCAGTGGCACGATCTTGGCTCACTGCAACCTCTACCTTCTGGGTTCAAGCAATTCTCCTGTCTCAGCCTCCCGAGTAGCTGGGATTACACGGCCCGCCACCACACCTGGCTACTTTTTCTATTTTTAGTAGAGACGGGGTTTCACAATGTTGGCCAGGCTGGTCTCAGACTCCTGACCTCGTGATCCGCCTGCCTCGGCCTCCCAAAGTGCTGGGATTACAGGCATGAGCCACCATGCCCAGCCAAAACTTTTTTTTTTTTTAATCAGCCAGGCATGGTGGCACATGCCTATAGTCCCAGCTACTCAAAATACAAAAAATTTAGCTGGTCATGGTGGCGTGCCTGTAATCCCAGCTACTCGGGAGGCTGAGGCAACAGAATCGCTTGAACCCGGGAGAAAGAGGTCCCGCAGAGGCGGGAGGATTGCTTGTGCGCAGGAATTTGAGGTGGCAGTGAGTTATGATAGTGCCACTTACTCCAGCCTGGGTGACAAAGTGAGACTCATCTCTTAAAAAAAAAAAAAAGGAGGTAATAATACTTACATGGCAGGCTTATTTAGAGAACTTAACGAAATACTGTACAGAAGTACCTAGCTCAGGGACTGATACATGATAGATACTCAGGAGATGTTATTTTCCCCTGCCGTGGATGGAGAATAATAAAGCAGAGTACCACTTTATATGATTATATGATGTGGCCAGGGAAGCTCTCTTTACCAAGGTGATAGAAGGGAGTGCGAGAGGCACACAGCCGAGTACAGAGTGTTTCCGGTTAAGAAAAGAGCAACTGCAAAGACCCTGAGGCATGAGCGCTTGGTTTGTTTGAGGAACAGCAAGGATGTCAATGTGACTAGAGCACACTGGGTTGAAGGACAGTAGGAGGACCTGAGGTCAGAGAGCTTGGGAGTGGGATGAAGGTGGGGTCACATAATGGAGGGCATCGTAGGCCACTGTGAAAACTTTGGCCTCTAAGTGAGAGGAGCAACCATCAGAAGGTTTTGAACTAAGAAATGACATGATCTCACTGATATTTTAAAAATAGACTGAAGAGTAGAAGGGGGAAGGAACCAGAGCAACCAGTCAGAAGGCATTTCAGAGAACTGAACCAGGGTGCAGTGGGAAGACAGAATTGTATCTGTGTGTGTTTTGAAGGTAAAGAAGACATTACCTGCTGATGGATTAGATATGGAAGTGTGACAAAGAAGTGCCAAGAATAACCCCAAGCATTTTGACACAAGCAGCCCAAAAATCAAGGCTGCCATTTACCAAGATGGGGAAGGGTAAAGGAAGACCAGGTTGGCGGGCAGCGGGTGGGGCAGGATTCAGGAGTTTGGATTTGGACATGTTAGGTTTGACATACCTATTTCACAGTCGTTGAAGTGGAGACCTACCTTAGTCTCACTGAGCCGCCACTGCCCCCTAGGTAGCCTGTGGATCACTACATAGGCTGAGGGCTGGTCTGCTGGCTCTGTGTTCTCCTCGAGCCAAAACACATACGTGGTATCTGACACTAGAGCTGAGAGAGCTGATGAAGATGGGGCGTAGGAAGAGTCTGAAGCTCGTTAGGACTCTTCTACTCAGCACCTGTCCCACACTAAAAGACAGCTTCAATAGCGAACTCCCCAAAGCATCCTCTGGAATCAAGACCACCTTGTGATCACCAAAGAAAAGTATGGGGATCCTCTGGCCCAAGCCATGTCATCCAGTCTCTCTTCTAACTCAACATCTTCCACATGTATAAAACAACTTGTTAGCTGTCCTCAGCCTCACATACTACAAATCCCCATTATTTTCCCATTCTGAGACTAGAAGAGCAGAATTTCACTCTACGTTTTTGTTGGAAAGGCAAAAAGTAAGTATTCCTCTTGGGAAAGAAGGGTTCTCTGATTCCCAAGATGTAGTAGCCATTAAGTGCATCCAAAGAGTATGAGTTTTTGATATATCAATGTCTAGAACCTTAATCTACTTACAGCAATTTAACCAAAGGGAATATATGCTCAAATTCTGCTACAAGAAATTGATACACTATTCATAACTGTAAAAAAATTGGGAACATTCTCTTGGTTCAATAAAGCAAAGATTGGTTAAAGAAATCTTGGAATATAAAAGAATTCTGGGTAACTATAAAAATGATTCCATATAAGAATATATTAAAAATGTTAGGAAAAAAGCAGATTACAAACAGTATATACAGCTGGGCATGTTAGCGCAGACCTATAATCCCAGCACTTTGGGAGACTGAGGCAGGTAAATCACTTGAGTTCAGTAGTTTGAGACCAGCCTGGCAACATGGTGAAACCCCATCTCTATAAAAAATACAAAAATTAGCTAGGTATGAAGGTGGGTGCCTGTAGTCCTAGCTATGTGGGAGGGTGAGGTAGGAGGATCACTTGAGCCTGGGAGGCAGAGGTTGCAGTGAGCTGAGATTGTGCCACCATACTCCAGCCTGGGCAACAGAGTGAGACTCTATCTAAAAATAATAATAATAAAATAAAATAAAAACAAATAGTATATATAAATATTAATATAACCTCCAGTTTTATTGAAAATGAAAGAGTGTGTGTGTGTGTGTGTGTGTGTGTACTATAAATTAAATACGATTATATATGATCAGCAAAATAACAGTGCTCTCACTTCTGGGTAGAAAGAAGGATTACGGATAATTTTTCCTCTTTTTATTTGTGTGTGTTTTCCAGATTTTCCACAGTGAACAAATACTCTTTTATACTAAAAACTGTTTGTTTGCTTGTTTGCTTGTAGAGACAGGTTTCTCATGTTGCCAGGGATGGTCTCAAACTCCTGGGCTCAAGCGATCCGCCCGTCTCCGCTTCTCAAAGTGCTGGGATTAAAGGTGTGAGCCACTGCAACGGGCCAAGACTTTATATTCTACATAAAGTCTCTCATATTTGTGGCTCATGTTTGGAATTTTTACTTTTTTTTTTTTTTTTTAACATCTCCCTATGTCCCTAGTATATACTTCATGTAGGTCAAAAGACTTCCTCCTGAGAAGACATTTGTGGAGCCTCCCCAAAGGCCTGTCCCCAGGGGATGTGATCCTCACTACTCTGCAGAGAAGTCAGTCACAGGGTATTCCTGCCTCCACACAGCACTTCGCTCCCAAGCTCGGTGGCTACTACTTCCCTAGCCTAGTAACTGTTATTACACGTGGGAAATGTGAAGCCGACTGGACTACCCCTACTCTTTACCTGGCTGAAAACCCAACTGATAAGCAGAGACTAAGAACTCCACAGTCTCCAACAGCGCAACAGGGAATCGGCTTTGTTTTCTATAAACAGACAGGCAAGAAAAACGTTCAGGTTAAAACGCAGTCCTCAGAGGAAGGAAAATAGAAACCAGGCAGTGGGGAATGCTTCATATTCCTACAAGTTTTTTTTTCTAAGTTAACACATGGTGTCTGCTTCTCTCTAGTCACCTATTTATCACTCTCCTCCTCAGAGAAGGGAAAAAGCCCTGGCTGTTTTCCTAGTGCAGAGCTTTGTGGCGGAGGGGGGCGGGGAGGAAGGGGGAGAAAGGAGGGTGCTTTAAGCATGATGCAAACCATTTGGAGCTGAGTGAGAGCACTGCCAACACAAGCTGCACTATTTAAACAAGTGAGGAAATGATCGTATATACAACATGCCAGCAAGCACACACACACACCAAAGGAAGTCGAGAGGGCTTTTTTTTTTCAGGACACAGAGCTGGATGTCAGCGGCTAAAAGGTCGATATTTTCCCTTAACACCCTTCTCAATGACTTAATCATGTTCCATTTGCACAGAAAACTTCCCAAGAATAAAAAAGTCTGGAGAATTAAGAGGAGGGGCGAATGGGGAGGGATGTTTGGCCTGGGGCTGACCTTATCCGAGGTTTTCTCCACGTAGCAGGGGTCCTGAGGGGCAGCCAGCAAGGGGACAAAGCCCGAGAGAAGCCGATCCTCTTCCAGGATAAGAAGGGTGAGGTCATCATCCGGGTCCTTGTACAGTGGCACCTCAGACTGATTCACTGCAGTCAGTATGTTACAGAAATCAGCCAGCGTCGACCATACATCCACAGCAACACTGTGAGAAATAAGGTAAGAAAAGAGCAGCTCTAAAGAGGGACCAGTAAAAAAAAGTATTCTCAGTATTTGTGAGCAGGGAAGTACTTGCAGCAAATGTTGTCTAGGCTGGCATCTGCCAGGAAATCATACCCCAAAAATGCTAGGAAACAAAACTGTGCCCAAGGCAGCAATCTGAGGTATGTGTATGTGGATTTATGCAAAGTTGAAATTGATTAGGGGGAGTTTTTAATCCTCACCAGAGAGGAAAAAGAATTTGGAGACTCAGTTGCCTAATGCAGGGTCCTGTCATCTTTCCAGACAGTGTGCCTGAGACGCTTACTCAAACACTCTAGACACCCAGTGCTTGTGGCTGCTCCCAGAATTCCCCACTGCTGTCCAGCCAAGTACATGCCACACAGACAGCAACTGAGCACCAGCCTCTCCTCCTCCAGCCACAGCCATGGAGGGTCTAGTCACAATACAGCAAGAGTCATGCATGTTTTCCTCCTACAATGCTTTAGAAATCTCTTCCCTATATATAGGCAGGCAATCAATCAATCAATCAACCAATCACACAAACAAACAAAAACCTCATTCCTGGCCCATCAAGATCCTCACAGGAAGGTAAAGCCTCTTACACAATTCATCAGCGCTGTCTCAGCCATTCCACACCTCTCCTTTCTCTCATTTGTGGAAGGTGAGATACAGGGTGATCAACTATTCCGGTTTGTGTGGGACTGTCCCAGTTTTAGCACTGAAAGTCCCACGTCCCCAGAAACCCCCCAGTCCTGGGCAAACTGGGATGGCTGGCTGTCCTAATTGCGTATCACCAGGTCCTGGCTGAACCTGAGAAGAAACCTTGAAACTGCAAAGTCTGGCTCTCCTTAATTGAAATTTCAGCATAGAATTATAAAAAAAGAGGTTCATTTCTCTGTCACCATCACTTGTCAAAAATCGACTGTGGGTCAGATTCCTGCTTTGGTGGGTGCTGAGGATCCATAAAGCTTTTTTTTTTTTTTTTTTTTTTTTTTGGCCTGCCCAGGGATACTACAAATTGTGGTAAGCATATAGGGCCTGCCAAGGCTACAGACTTGGCTTTCTTCTCCAGGAAAGCACCTAACCAGGAGTCTGGAACAGATAATATCCTATGGATGCTAAGTTTTACTCTAAAAGAAGAGAGATGCATAGGAGAATTACAAAGAAAAGCTTCACAATTAGATTCATGAGCTAGAGTGGCAAGAGGCAATATGTAAAGAGAGCTGTAAGAATCATCCTGGGCGGGGTGTGGTGGCTCACGCCTGTAATCCCAGTACTTTGGGAACATGAGAAGGGAGGATCACTTGAGGCCAGGAGTTCAAGACCAGCCTGGGCAACACAGTGAGACCCTCTTGCTAAAAACAACAAAGAAGAATCATCCTGGAATCTCCCCAGTGGAGTTACTGCCTATGAGTCCTACTAGGGAGGGGCCTCAGATCTAAGCAATTTGTTTCTCCTGGAGACCAAGAATCTTTGGGAGATGGCAGAAAAGAAAGCATTCAAGGGACATGCCACCGAAGGTGACAGTGGGGGAGAAAGTGGAGCAGAGGTATGGGAACTCCCTGACTGGCTCCAGGTGGAAGGAGGCTGCAATGGTTTATTTACTGTAATCATTGCACTAGGAAAAGGCAATGAAATGAAACATCTTGTTTTCAAGAGTGTCCTGGGAACCAGACGGAACACAGCCCCATTAATCACACAACGGCACATAATCAACACACGTGTACTGCAGAAGTAACTCGCTTCACAGGCTTTACCCAGGAAAAAGAACATGTTTGGGAAGAATCACCGGAGGGACGAGTTTTCTAAAGCCTCTCTCAGCGCAGACACCGACAACCAGACTCATTCACAAAGCTCCATCTTTTGGCTCAGCCGGGTTTGGCTGTCAGAAATGTTTAAATATGGAAAAAAATAAACAGTTGCAACACGTTTCTGTGCAGAGATCTGCCTGAGCTCCTTTGTGATGTAATGGGAAACGCGGCATTCAGGCTACCAGCTGTAGAATAAACAGAACTTCGAGGGTTAAAAGGAACTGAACTTTCCACGACCCCATCTGCAGAGAAGAAAATAATAAGAGGAATGATGCACTGCCCCACAGCCCTGATAGTTTATCCTCCGGTCCCGGCTGCAGAGACAAGCACCGGATGTGATAGGGCTGCTCAGGGCCGCCTCCGAGGTTAGTGCTGCCCATGGGAGACGCACAGGGAGGCTCTTCCAGTTCCCCGCTTCCTCCCCCAGTGCCCTGCTGGCCACTTGAGCCCGCTGCCTGAGTCTGATCCCACAGCACTGGTGAGCTTTGGCCAACAGGCACTGCTCGGCTGCAGAGCAGCAATTTGGAAAATAAACAGGAAAGACGACAGTGAGAAGGAAGAAGGTGAAAAGTCTCCCAGCTGAATTCTTGGCTTGGGGGCCCTGGTTGGTGCGTGCAGGTCAAGGCTGCTGCAGGACATAGTTGGGGGTTGGGGGTGGTGTGGGCAGCAGCATCCCCAGCCAGAGAGAGGCGGCCGAAAATTACCCACGGCTGCCACAGTGGGAGGCCCCACATCCCTCTCTCATCCTCCCACCCCTACCATCTTGGATCCAAGATGAAGAAATATGTGGTACCATGTGGTTCTCATTACCATGCTCTCCTGTCCCCTAAGGCTCAGATAAACCAAAACTGACTCCTCCCAGAGACTGCTGGCCACCACTAGGGACCCCTGCCCACATACGCCTTTTTGCCCATTACCACCCACCTTGTACCAAAACCTTGAGACTCACTGCAAAAATAAGGTGGACGAGAATCCCTACCTCAATGTTGATTTGTAAGAAAGCAGCTGATGCCAAAAGACACAGGGAGTGCCCAGAGTTCCCAACTCAGAAATATAAATAAAAGTGGTCCAAGAGCCAAGCTAGACTGTGCAGAACCAAGGAAATACACAAAATGCTTCAATGAGAGGTCACTTCTGCTCTGGTTAATTCAAATTGGTCTTGTGCTCTGATTGTGAGTAGCTGCCTTCTTCTGGTGTTTCAGTGGGATCACCCAAACTCAGTTCACATTCATATCATCAGTTATCTCCTTTCATCGAACACCACAGACATGAACACAACACAACTACCCAGAGACCCATGGGCGACACAGTGACTCTCTACAGGAGTGAGGGAGTGTCAGGAAACTCAAAGGAAGAGGTGCTTTGAAAAACCAGGTGAGATGTCTGAACTCAAAAGTTAAGATATTTGCAAAAGGATGAGGTAATTCCTGGAAGCTGGGCAACATCACCTCAGCTTACCCCAATCAGGCCTCTGGGCTGGGAGGTCAGTTCTGTGGGTGCACATAGGATTTCCTGTCTGTAGAAGGAGAAAAGCTTAGCTTTTTCCTGCTTTAATTCCTCATCCCAACCAGGAGCACCTTCTAGCCTTCACCCGACAGCAGCCCTTAGGCCCTATGGATTCAAGGTTGGCCAGGGCCAAGGAGCCAAAAGTCAAATTCGGGTGGCGATGAGGATCTGTAAACAGCTGCCAATCTTTTGGAAATGCTTGGGAAATAACTTCCCAGAAGGTTTCCCAAATAATCTCAAACAACTTTTGATTCTAAATGGACCCTCTAGAGTGCTGTGGACTCATGCAGGTCCTTCTGGTTTGTTCTGGTTCAATGCATATTTTAGGGAAATTCCCAGAGTCCACAATATCCCGCTAAAGTTAGGGTGGACTGTTCACCAAGCAGACACAAAGCAGCCAGAGAATACGCAACTGTGTCCAATGAGCCTGCTTATGGCTCCCAGAATGATGGCCAGGGAGTCTCTCAGCAGCTGTGATGTGATTAGAGAGCAGGGATCAGCAGTTGCAAGGTGACCCACTGGCCCAACCCCACAGAACACACCACACACCAGGACGGCAGAGCCCTGGCTGGAGTCGGAAAGCCAGATCCGAGTTTGGGACAAACCAGCAGTGACTAGTTACAAGTATGCACTCAGAACCAAGGCTCACTTGCTTCCCTACAGACATGCATTCACTTAGTCCACCAGGAAAGGAAAAAAATAAGAGTTAATTTACTTTTTATTGCCTCAGAATTCCAAGGTTTAATGTATCTGTCAGTTTGAGTGCAGTGCAGCTGCTGGCCGATACAATGCAGCCCAGGCCAGCCCAGGTGACTGGGGAAACACATTTCACAGAAACAAACCAACACACACTCCTGGCTGGTTGTTTGGGGGATATTGACTCCGGAATCAGATTAACCCTTCAGGCTGAGGTGAGTTCTGCAAATAGCTGTAGAAAGGCAGCTGACGTCCAGGGAACTGAGAAGCCCTGCTCTCAGAGGGGCCATGGGTTTCTGTGTTCCTAAAATTTTGCTTTTCTCACAGGAGAGGTTACCCAACTGCAGCATCCTCTGACAGATTAAGGTATGCCAGGTGAGACACGTCACACCACAATAATCTACCTTCTTGCCCAGAACTCAGAAAGGCAGTCTGCCAGCTTCATAGGGAAGGAGTCAGGCAGGACTTTTTCTGAAAGCTCCACTGGGGCAGGACTGAGAGGAGGAGAGAGTCTGAAAAGAGTGGAGCACCAACGCCTGACCAAGACTCAGTCCATCTTCCTGGCAAGTCTAAGGAGGATGAGGCACTCACACACTCCTTCATATTTTACTGGGGGAACAAGCTGACTGGTGATTAACATCAAGTACAATGACCCCATGTTACAAGCCTGCTGGGGCCTGTGGAGGTGGCCATTTCCTGTGTAATACCAGCTTGTTTAAACACTAACATTCAAACTCCACAGCTGCAGAACAAACCCGGAAAGAGTTGAGTGAGAAGAAGCCGTGCATTGTGTTTCAGAGCTATGGAAGATCAGAGAAGCAGTACAGATGGGAAACAAGTTGGGTCTTCTGGTTCCTGGAGTGAGGAGATCTGGAAATACAGCCAAGATGGCACAGAAGCTAGGCACAAAGAAGCTGAAAAAGAGGACACCCATGTGGTACAGACACAAAGACAAATGGCTGTAACAAGAGAACCACGCCTAAGACATGCAATATCTGCCTTTTCAAACGGTTTCCCTGTGGGCCATTATATCCTAGCCTACAACTGTCCACGCAGGGGTCAGAGGCTAACATAAGACCACTGTTGCCCTGGAGAGCTTCTCACTCCACTGGAGAAAACTGCAGGAATTCAGCAGCTAATAGCAGAAATGGACTTGAATCCAATAAGTGTGGCAGAGTTAAAAGAATAATACCCGGGCTTGAAATGGCTTAGCATGCCTCTTGGAAAGCCAAGATGTCATGCCAACTCTGTTTGCATTGGGCGAAGGATTTGATTCTGGTACCTCAGTGCTAGGTAGCTCAAGAGGCCCTGGGCTGGGCTGGAGATGGGGAGAATTCTATGCGGCTCCTGGAGATTTCTAGCAACAATGTGTCATCCAGATGCCACATGATACAAAGAAGAGACAAAGGTATCAAAGGCCACCATTCCAGGAGTTAAGATATGAGCAGCAAGACACCATCCTCTAAGAATAAGAGATGTTTGCTGGGTGACCCCTAAAGAGACCAGACTTAGATGAAGGTAATCCCTTCTATCTTTCTCATTTATACCAACAAGTCGACTTGGGACTTTGGGAGAGTACTCACCCTAAATCAATTTTGCCCAAAAGGGCAAATCAAATTCTGAAGCTTAGTCATCCTGCCCTACTGCAAGAATATAAACCTCTCCATGTTCTAAGCAGGGCAGCTGGAACCCTATGGCCAGCAATAGGTCACAGTAACCTCGTTCCAGGATTTCTCAAGTATCAGAGCACCTCAACCATCCACTGCCCCCAATATGTTCGGGGTCGGCGCCTTATTTGATTTCAGTTCTCCAAAGCCACCCTCATATGTATAGCCTCTGTCATATCACTATGGTGTGCTAAACCCATCAGCACTGTATGTTTGGGAAAGAGCAGCCCCTAGGGGATCCTGACATCTCCACGGCATGAGTGGAGCCCTCGGCGGCCTCCCTGGTGCGGATTCTCACGGTTCCTGCCTCTCCAAACTTTTAGCTGTAACCACTCCAACACGTCTTCTTAGCTTAGCACACACTGGACCCAAATAACCTCAGCTCAGAGCTGGAAAGTACTCTCCCTGGGGTCAGCTGCTGTACCCTGCTGGGGTCAGACTGGAGCCTTAGGCCAACACCCCTTCCTCTCACAAGGAGTCCTACGGGAGGCGTGGGGAGGGGACAGGGGCTCCTGCCGTGGGAGAGATCACGTGTGCCCCACACTCAGCACTTGGAGGAAGAGGAACCCCCTGGTGCCAGGCTGCAGTGCTAACGCCCCAACCCGGAGCCAGGGAGACTGGGTGGGGAGCCAGGGTAGCAAAGGGGCTTCCCACAGCCACCACCACTTCCTTCAGGGAAGTGCTGATGGACTATTACTCAGTGACCTCCTAAAATGCCCTTTTGGGAAGGCATATTAAGTGTCCTTGAAGGGGTGCCGATTAGCCTTGGGATTAGTTCTTATTTCAGAGCTGCCCTATGAAGGTGAGTGAACTAGTTGTTTTTTAACTTGAGAATTTCTATCTCATCTACAGAGTCAACACATGGAAGCTCCCTAAGGAAGTCAGCTTACTGCATACGCCCTACGTATCCCTCTTTCTCCCTATGTGACAAGACCTCAGAGGGCTCCCTACGACCCTTCTCCAGTGTGCTCTGTAGACTATGGAAGACGATCCATGGAAAAGCAGCAAGTACAAGAATTTCTAGAGTTTTTTTTTTTTTAAACAGTACTCCAATCCAACAGTGTGATAAATGCATCCGAGCTACAATTAGGAAGATATATAGCATCAGAATGCGAAGGTCTGGGCAGCCTGGTGAAACGCGGGCTCTCCAGAGCCCCAGCTATGTTTCCCATTATGTAACCCTGGTCATGGGCAGACAGCCAGACTCCAAATGAAAAAGAGACTCTGGCTTGGCACTGGTTCTATTTTCCTATCCTCATTCGGGGTCAGCGCAGTGTCATACAGCTGCAGAGAAAGCTCTGGGGATTAAACCTGGGAAAGCCTCCAAGACCAGGACCTGGGTTCAAGTACCAGCTGAAAGCAATAAACCAACTGCCACAGCTGGGCTAGGTTTGGATGTTCTCAAAGTCCCCTGACTCTTTCACTTACTGAGAACTAGAAATCAGGATAAGTGAAGATTTGGCCTCAGCAGAGACTGAAATGAGGTAGGCTGTCCCACTGCCCTAGCCTTGCCAAAGGTCCTGGGATGCAAGGGGTCACTATGCTCAGGTCCATGAAGCCTGTCGCTCTACTCCTCTCCAGCACGACTTTCCTTGTGCTCACTTGCCGAAGTAGGGGTGCAGCTGCCTCTCCCTTCTCACCAGAGGCTTGGTGTGGATGGGAACACAAACTATGCTAGCAGATGGGGCAAGTAGGTGGGCCCTCCAAACCAAGCAGTCTGTCCTAAACACACCCAGCACTCTACATTGACTTTCACAGTGGCCCCAGGCCACTTTCCACATCCTGCTATAATCCTCTATACCAATAATCTCCTGGGATTATGAAGCCATTCTGTTACAATCCCTAACGGGTACAACTGGGGAGTCAACTTGCTTCCATCCATGCTGGCTCTAACACACAGATCTAATAAGTGCCACAGCGAGGGAAGGCACACATGCCCACATGCCCAGCAATCCTGCCCTCATCACTCTGCAGTGCCAACGATACTCTCATCATCATCCTAGGTGTTCCACATGTGCCTGCTGTTGTGGTTTTGACTGGAAGGAAGAGGAGCATGGGCAAAGAGGAGAGAACCAAGGAAACTCAAGATGAACCCTGGAATTCCCCTCAGAGAGGGGAAGATGCTGTGCAATGATTCTCTAACTGCATAAGGAAAGAGGGTAACAAATTAAAGACAGGGAGGGAATGAAGGAAGAGAGATGAAAGAAGGGTCCCACATGTCAGAGGGACCATTTGGAAGTGGGGTTTCTGGAGGAAAAGCAAAGGAGACTTCCTCTTTGTAGGAAAAACAGGCTCTCTGGTCACCTTATCTTAGGATCAGAGAAATGTATCTTTGCAAAGAAGAAACTCAGGCAAAGACCAATGAAAGCATGCCAAGAAGGGGCACTAAACAGCAGCCATTTCATTCCTGCTCCCTTGGGAGCATTTCCAAACCCTTCAAAACGATGAGCAGCAACAAGGACTTTACAAGCGTCAGGGGGGTTACAGTTTTGGCATCTACAGAACCATTGGGGTGTGTTATTCTCTATGACCTTAAAAGAAAAGCCTCTTCAATCTGTAAGGTCAGTGGGCATGAGATTAAGTTTGAAACCCACAAAAGCACCATACCTTTGCCAATCTCTCAACCAGAGTATTTACTCAGTGAGTATTAGGAAGCTACATGAGAATATGGGAAACAAAAGAAGGAAGGTGCAATTCTGATTCCACTTTTCCAGGCCTCTGATCTGAAGACTCTGAGGTGGGACTACCCTCAGTGGTAGTCAGGCCAGGTTTGCTCTGTTGAACGCGGGCACCAGTCCTTAAATAGCCATGCCTTGGGGTCAGGCCCCAGGATAGCAAAGCCTCTCTTTCATGCTTAAACTCGCATTCCAGAGATAACCAGCTGCTGATCCTAACTGCAGAGAGAGAAAGAAAGAGAGCACAGAAGGAGATGTTTTTCTCTATTACACTGTTTTATCTCTCTAGCCCGGACTGGCTTCACGAGAGAGTAAGTGGTATCCACAGCTACGGTAACGTATTTGCTGGGTAATTAAATTCAATATACTATTTGGTCAGATTTGCTCTCCTCGTGAAGAAGTCTGAGAAGACTAAGCAAATATGACTCAAATGTCCCAACCCCCTCTGCCTCTCTGTAGCCCAGAATGTGAAGCCCAGCCGGGGATGGCTGTAGCTTGGACCACGTGCCTGCCTGTAGATTGAGCCCTTGCCCAAAGATGGGCAGCAGCTCAGAGCCGGCAACGGGCCATTTGCTGCAGCATCCAAAGAGAAAACAGACTCAGCATCTCAAGCAAATGAGACCCAGCACTTCCTGTGTGAGCTTTCCATTTCCTCAGCCGAACAAAAGCCAAAAGGGAGTGAGAGAGGGAGGAGGGATGAAGGGAGACATGCTGCGTGAGAGAGCTAACAGACCTGTGGCCCGGGATATGGGTAAACAGGGGCTGTGTGAATCCTATCTAAGAGACCTGTGGTTGTGAGGTGAGGTGACCCGGGGAAGGCCCAGGCTCCAAGGACAGATGGTCTGCCTCCCCACCCTGAGAGTAAGGAAGGGACACTCAGTGACCCTTGTGCATGCTCAGAAGCAGTGGCTTAGATACTTGGAGAACTGAGTCCTTTCTTGGCATTTTCGTTCCAAAACTGCAAACTGCCTAGTCCTCATTACAGATTAATAGCCTGAAAAGTTTGAGGCTGTAGATGTTAACTCTTTGGGGATCACTGCTGAGAAACAGCTGTCCCCTGGCCAGCAGATCCGTCAGTTCCTTTGTGTGGCCCCAGCTGCACAGCTTGGAGCTCCAAGGCTTCAGCCTGGAGTGCATTTTGGAAACCTAGGAGGGCCCACAGATAGGATGCAGAGAACTGTCCGATGCTGTGAGTGCCGCCCACACCGTTACAGAGCTAGAGGTGGGGAGGGCATGGGGAGACTGAGATTAATAACAGTCCAGGGGGTACATCTTGAGGCAAGTACAGGGAAAAAATTTAGAAAGAAAAGGGGAAGAATCAGACTACACAGTCCACACATAAACTGCTGCCCAGAAATCTCTGCTTTAGCCTTCCCTCTGGAGGTTACCCATGAGTCTAGGAGACTCACATGGCTGGTCCCCAAGTCAAACAAGCTCCCCTCCCTACTCCCCAAAAGTGCCCTCCAAAGTAGCCAGGGTCTCCATAATCTATCCCCCAGCATTACTTCTCTCCAGAGAAGAACACTGGAGATGCTTGTTCTGAAACACACATAAATGCATAACACAGAGCATGAAGGAGCTTTGGGTACACAGCACCAGCCGAAGACCACACTGAGAGAATGTGGGGTAGGGGAAGAAAAGGAAGAGGGAAACGAGAAATGGCCAGGGGGGTGGGGTGGGCAGGGGTGAAACAGAGAAAGACAGAGACACTAAGGAAGAGTAGAGATAAGAAAGAGAGGCCCAGCACTGTGGGAGGCCGAGGCAGGCAGACCGCTTTAGCCCAGGAGATCAAGGCCAACTTGGGCAACATGACAATGCCCCATCTCTATTTAAAAAATACAAAAAGTTAGCCGGGTTGGTGGTGCATGCCTGTAGTCCCAGCTACTTGGGAGACTGAGGTGGGAGAATCACCTGAGCCCAGGAGGTCGAGGCTGCAGCGAGCTGTGATCGTGCCACTGCCGTCCACCCTGGGTAACAGAGCGAGACCCTGGGAAAGGAAGGTAGGAAGGCAGGAAGGGAGGGAAGAAGGAAAAAGAAAGAAAAAAGAAAGAAGGGAGGGAGGGAGGGAAAAATTAAAGTGAGCAGGAGGGAGAGATGAATAGTGAACAGGGCTGAACAGAGATGGAGCCTACACGCACAGTTGTACAAACATGAACACACACAGTGACACTAACACAAAGAAGAATGTGACACATGGAACATGGACAGAGATTGAAGTCAGCAAGCTTTTTCTGTAATGAGCTAAACTGCAAATATTCCAGGCCGTGTGAACCATACAGCCTGTGGCAACTACTCAACTCTGCTCTGTAATGTGAAATCAGCCATAGACACAGTGTAAACAAGTAAGCATGGTTATATTCCAATCAACTTTATGGACACTAAAATCTGACTTTTATACAATTTTCATGAGTCATGAAATAGTACTCGTTTGATTTTTTGTTTAACCATTTAAAAATGTAAACCATTATTAGCTTGTGGGCCATGGTATGCTGATCCCTGATACAGGTGCGTGCGACACACACACACACACACACACACACACACACACACACACACACACAGCAGAGGCAGACGAAAGCAGAGGCAAAGAGAAAGACAGAGGCAGGCAGGCAGAGACAGGCCAGGACAGACAGACAGACAGGTAGGTAAAAGGCAAGGCAGGCAGATACAGGAAGACCCACATACACAGAAACCCCCTCTAACAGAGAGATCCAGACTGGCATACAGAGACATAGTTACACACAAACATGGACACAACACAGACATTCAGGAACACATACTCACAGACCCAGACACAGACACAGACTGACATGGACCCAGAATCAGCACAGACACAGACAGATACACTGGTCTGATGTGGTGGCTCACGCCTGTAATCCCTGCACTTCTGGAGGCTGAGGCGGGTGGACCACTGGAGGGCAGGAGTTTTGAGACCAGCCTGACCAGCATGGTGAAACCCCATCTCTACTAAACATAAAAAAATTAGCCAGGCCTGGTGGCTCATACCTGTAATCCCAGCCACTTGGGAGGCTGAGGTGGGAGAATCACTTGAACCCAGGAGGCAGAGGCTACAGTGAACTGAGATCATGCCACTGCACTTGAACCTGGGCAACAGAGCAAGACTCTGGGGGGAAAAAAAAAAAGGGCCAGATGGGGTGGCTCACACCTGTAATCCCAGCACTTTGGGAGGCTGAGGTGGGTAGATCACCTGAGGTCAGGAGTTTGAGACCAGCCTGGCCAACATAGTGAAACCTCATCTCTACTAAAAATAAAAAATTAGCTGGGTGTGGTAGCACATGCCTGTAGTCCCAGCTACTTGGGAGGCTGAGGCAGGAGAACTGCTTGAACATGGGAGGCTGAGGATGCAGTGAGCTGAGGTCGCGCCATTATACTCCAGCCCAGGCAACAAGAGCAAAACTCCGTCTCAAAAAAAAAAAAAAAAAAAAAAAGGCTGGGTACGGTGGTTCATGCGCCTGTAATCCCAGCACTTTGGGAGGCTGAGGCGGGTGGATTGCCTGAGGTCAGGAGTTTGAGACCAGCCTGGCCCACGTGGTAAAACCCCGTCTCTATTAAAAATACAAAAATTAGCCGGGTGTGGTGGCAGGTGCCTGTAATCCCAGCTACTCGGGAGGCTGAGGTAGGAGAATAGCTTGAACTCAGGAGACAGAGGTTGCAGCCAAGATTATGCCACTGCACTCCAGCCTGGGAGACAGAGCGGGACTCCATCTCAAAAAAAAAAAAAAAAAAAAAAAAAAGACAGCTATAGATGTGGACACAGAGACATGAAAACACAGACATACACTGAAAGAAACCTACTTGGGGACACATGAATCCCATACAGAGATATATATACTCAAGGATATACAGACACAAACAGGTATAGACACAAATACAGACATAGATACGGACATCCCACATGAACACATACAGATAACAACACACGTGGCCACAGTTGGATGGATGCACATGGACAAGTAAACACAGACAGACATGGACCAGGCACACGGAAAGACCCCTAGACAAGCGCCCAGAGGCAGACACACAGAACTTTGCGCTCAGATACAGACACTAAGACACACACAGACTTACAGACACACAGACAAATGGACCTAGACAAGCACAGAGTCGGACACAACCCAGACACAGATATAGACAAAGATAAAAGAAGTAACCATATGGGGTTCCACAACACTCTGTAAATGTAATTTATGTCACCGAACTTAGAAATAGTTAAGATGGCAAATGTTACATCTATCTCCACAATTAAAAAAAAGAAAAAGAAAAAGGTATACAAACACATAAACTGATCTACGTAAATACACCCAGACAGACACACAGACTCCAACACCTGCCCCCGCCCCCAATACACAAATGCTCTCTGCTATACACAAATGCTCTGAGAGATGCCAGACTGACACACAGAGACAGGGGGCGAGGGCAGGCTCATGGTGAGAAGACAGGGGATGAGGGTGAGGGCAGAGGCATGGTGAGAAGACGGAAACGAGGGCGAGGTGTAGTGAGAAGACGGGGACGAGGGCAGGGACGTGGTGAGAAGACAGGGGGCGAGGGGAGGGACGTGGTGAGAAGACAGGGCATGAGTGAATGGAAGAGAGATGTGCATGCATTCAGCCTCCCCACACGCTGCCATGCCAGGAGACAAACTGCAGAAGACAGCACAAGCAGCAGTGAGAGAGCCTTAAAGATGCAGAGAAGGCTGGGCATGGTGGGTCATGCCTGTCATCCCAGCACTTTGGGAGGCTGAGGCAGGTGGATCTCCTGAGCTCAAGAGTTTAAGACCAGCCTGGGCAACACGGCGAAACCCTGTCTCTACCGAAAAATACAAAAAATGAGCCAGGCGTGGTGGTGTGCACCTGTGGTCCCAGCTACTCAGGAGGCCGAGGCAGGAGGATCACATGAGCTGGGAGGTGGAGGTTGCAGTGAGATCGCGTCACTGCACTCCAGCCTGGGTGAGCTGAGATCATGCCACTGCACTCCAGCCTGGGTGACAAAGTGATACCCTGTTTCAAAAAAAAAAAAAAAAGCAAGATGCACAGAAAAACTAATAAGAGAAGATACAAAGTCTCACACACACATATCCACACAAATCCAGACTCCAGAGGCAGCTGCAGAGATGGTGAGTATGCACAATATGGAGTGAGGATGAGGGAACGAGAGCAAGAACAAATAACAAAATGGAGAGTGAGAGGAAAAAGAGAGTGTGAGAGGAGGGGGAAGAGGCCTGGAGAACAGGAAAAAATAACCTAAAACATCAGAGGATAGGGAAGGTATTCAAAAAAAGTTCAAATAAAGAAGAAATAGAGAGGCAGGCAGGCTGTGGGCAGAAAGAAACAGAGCAGGATGAAGAGGGGAGCTGTAGGAACACGGGCAGGCCCAAGCCAGTGGTGCTGAAGCAATGGGCAGGTCAACTCACTGCGAGGGCAGATCCAGGGATGTGGGAGGAGGATTCCAGGTGTCCGGGTAGCCGAGCATCCAATCTGACCAGACTTTGACACTGGGGAGCAGCTCCTTCAGGTCCGGGACAAAGGAAGACACCTTGATGTCGTCTTGGTCATCCTGGTCCTCAGGAGAGGACAGCTGAGCTGCAGAGGCAAAGGGTGAGAACTGGGCCTATGTCTGCTGTAGCCCCCGAGTGAGGCCTGGGGCGCTGGGACGGCAGCAAGCTCTTAGGGAAGGGAGACCAAGTCCACAGGAAAGATAGGCCCAGAAGCGAGGACAAGCGCCAGCACCTAAGAGGATTCTGAAAAGTAGGACAAAGAGAGAACCAGTGTACTGGGTCTGCCCCTGGACACAACTGCTTCTGCTTCACCTGTGGCTTGGCTGAAGCCTCTACTCTGGCCTCTAGCCCACCCTTCCAGCCTTCCTTCAGCACAGTACCAAGATGGCACCAGAGTTCTTGCCAAAACTGCATGACCTGAATTTAATCACAAGGAAACACCAGAGAAACCCAAACTGTGGGACACTGTGCAAATGCTTCATATTCTTCAAAAATGACAAGGACATGTAGGACAAAGAAAGACAGAAAAACCATCCCAAATTAAAGGACATTAAAGAGACACGATGATATCTAAATGCAACGTGTGCTCCTGCACTGGATCCCAGAGCAGAAAACAACTTTTTTTTCCCCTTGCTATAAAGAAATTAGGGCAACTGGCACAAACTAAGTAAGGTCTGTGAATGCAATAATAGTATTTTGTCAATGTTGACTTCCGATTTTGATAACCGTTGTTAAGAGAATATCCTTATTATTAGGAATATAGAGTCAAGTATTTGGGGGTAAAGGGCCCGCAACTCTGTAACTTAAAAATCAAATGGTTCAGAAGAAAAATAATAACCTTAAGTATGTGTGTATGGAAAGACGAACGTAAGCCCATATGGTAAAATGTTAACTGGGGAATCCGGGTGAAGGGTATGTAAGAGTTCTCTGCACTATTCTGGCTACTGTTCTGTAAATATGAAGTTACTTCAAAATAAAAAGTTGCCCTTCTGTCCCTAAAAAAAAAAAAGGCAGCCTCCGAAGCTGGAGGCATTCACAAAGCTGGTGCGGCATGGGGTGACAGTGGGGTCTCATTAAGTCACTAATATTGATCTAGGAGCTGAAAAGAAAGGTGTAACCTTCAGCCCTACCTTCTACTGCTACAACAATCTGGCTTAGACTTCTAAGGGCAGCCTTAAAGGATATGGGATACTGTCTCAACCTAAGGGCTAAAAATAGCACCTGCTCTATCTGGTCCAGTGAGTCTCCCATGATGGCTGGTCCACAGCGGTTACAGAACTCACCAGGTACCACACAAACAGAAACAAAGAGATAAAGGGGAAAACACAACGTCGATTATGGAAACTAACTTTTCTGGTTTCCTGAAGATGCAGGAACATGCAGCAGCTCATAGGTACAGTGAAAATCCTAACTACTAAAGGAGAAAAGAGAGAGGAAAGGGTTCTACAAAAAGGAGAAGAGGGCCTTAGAGGCAATCAGACTGTAAAAGGAAATGGGACTAGTTAGGCAGGCAAAAGGAAGAGGGGCATGTAGGTAAGAGGAAGAATGGAGACTACAGGGAGAAGACACCGAGAAAACAGCATGGCACTGTGAGGTCTGGACAAGGCCAGGCAACTGGAAAGCCCACCAGGCTGGGGACTCCTCCTGCTTACCTTTGGCGGACTCCTTAAGTAAGCAGGTGCAGCGGCGGACCAGTAGAGAAAACATGGCCAAGCCCAGAGCTGCGGCTTGTTCCTGGATCACAGAGCGGCACTCCTCCGAGAAGCAGTCTGCGGACAGGCAAATGAAACTCTCAGCGCCCCAGGCGGACAAGATGCACATCACTGGCCACGTTACCGAGCTTCCTTTTCCTCACTGAAGACTAGGGCTAGTGATATTCCCTCTCTCAGAGTGGTCATAAGGCCAAGTAGAAAATGCATGTGAAGCACTTACCATGAGGTCTGGCATATGGATATGTGTTTGATAAGATGATAAGGGTCACCTCTGTCAATTCTACATCACTTTCCCAGGAACGGTTACCTCAGGAAGGGCAGTCTGAGCTGGAGCTGCATGGTCTCTGCCTTTAGCTGCCTACTGATAATGTAAAGCCATCGTAACAAGAACTCAGATTTAATTAACTCAGTCTCTCTAGTGTATAACTAACAGGAGCACAGTCATCAGTTAAGATTGGAAAAATACACATTTAAAAATGATCTTCTGTCTACTGCCATACCACCCTGAACGCGCCCGATCTCGTCTAAAAATGATCTTCTTGAATCACCAACCTTTAGTCCCATCCTTACTTCCTCCATGTCCCTCCTCCTAAGAAAACACACATGACACAAATAACCTACTTTCATGGAATGAGTTAATTTTATGCAGAACAGTGCTTGGCACATAATAAGCACTTAATCAGTGTTGGCTTTTGTTTTCACAAATTCCTTCCCCTAGCGCTAAAAAATAAACCTGGCTCCCAATCCCAGTACCCTCTTCCCGTCACTTTTTCAGCCTGGCTAACTAACTTCCTTCTGGCTCCAGGTCACCGAAAGGAGCCATCTTTTTGGTGGGCAGAATTATTCTTTGGTGGGAGCTATGTGGCATACTCCCAAAAGCCTGCCTGTACCTACTCTTCATCACTGGCCTTCCCTGAAAGCCACGTCATCTGAACTCGAGAGGAGCTGGTGACACACAGAAGGCAGCAGTCCACCACACAGCCTCCGAGGAGGAGACACCACATACCCACAGGAGACAGAATCAGGGGCCAGGCTCACTAGCTCTGGCAGCAGCTAATCTGTGAATTCCCTCTCTAATACAGGAGAACTCTCAGAATCTCCAAGTGTTAAAAGGATAATCAGCTGAATGTCTGATCTCTGTCCCTGCCTGTATTTTAACCTCAGTAGCCAAGGGGAGCCCTCTCATCAGCTCACCAGTCTTGTCAATGGGGCCCCATTGAAGTTGTTACTCCAGGAGACAATACCCAACCACAGTGATTCCTTACCATCTTTGCCCCAGGAGCAAGTATGATTGGAGTACACAAAGCCAGCCCCAACCCACTTCTGAAAGTACTGGGTGTAAGAAGGAGCAGGCTGCTGCTCAGAAGGGCCCAACAAACGAATAGCATCCAGGGTAGTAATTCTTTGATTGTGGCTTTCCCACCAACCTTCCAGATGCCCACTGGTCCCAGATGTCACCCTCTGACTTTCCAGCTCAACTGTGGCAGGCAGTTAAGGAAGTGGTAACAATCCATGTGATTAGAATAGACCAGTCTCACTCCTGTCCTGTTAAGGCCCTAAACCTCTGTTACAAAGAAAACAAGCATGCAAGAGCCAAGAAGAGGGGAGGATGGAAAGCAGGAAAGGGGGAGATATGTAAGTTGTCAAGAAAAGTTACCAACTTCTCCCCTTCACCCTCCCCATAGGCAGCAGCACTGTCAGTACCGCCCAGCTCAGTCCAGGCCATTGCCACGCCCGGACAACATCCTGCCTCTAACTAGCAACAGAGCCGGGAAGAAGGGAGTAAGTCCAGAAAAGAGGGAGTTGGGAGAAGACAAGTGGAGGCCACATCCTGGTAGCTGATACTCTGAGTAAACATTAGTGCCTCCTCATCAACTAAGCAGAAGTTACCTGCACTCAGAAGGCTAGAAGGGATGGAGGGGGGTGTCCTGGCTCCAAGAGACTGGCATTTTATGAAGCACAGGCTACACTAAGACACTCCCATGACCCTGGACAGGGATAAGACAGGGGAGGTTTCTTTCACCAAGCCCAGTTCTGTATTTATGACAAATGGCAATCACAAGCTAGACTGTCTCTCAGAGTTCAAGGTGGGGGCTAGGGCTCAGAGGGAGAATGGCTGCTTAACAACAATGGGATCTGCGGTCTTCGTGGACTCCAGGTTGGCTCCTTTTCTAAAGGCTCCTGCAATAAGGTCTGGAGACCAGGCAAGGTAGCAACAGCTGGAGTCTCTTTGGTGTAGATCTGAAAGTGCTCAGCCACCTCCCAGGGCAGCAGCTAGAAGGCAGCTTCATGACTGCTCTGTCCTTGGTGACGGTTATGTCACCTCAACTCCCCATCCCCTAACCCCCTCCTGAAGAAAGGCTTGAAATAACACTGCCTGCTTATGTGTCTGGTCCATCTGATGCGGAGTATTAAGCAGTAACTGTTCTGCTGTAATCAAGCAGGTGGAGATTTTACAAACGATCAAGGGGGTCAGCATGTCTGAGTGTTGGTCAGGCCTCTGACTGGCCATGTTACCTAGAGCACCTCCTGGAAGGCCTGTCCTTCTCCATGGCTCAGTAGTACCTCAAGCACATACTGAGCATGTAGAATGTTCCAGACTCTGTACTAGGTATGATGGAGCACACAGTTACAAATAAAACATGGTCTCTGCAACCGTAGGACCTTTCAATAGGGTAAAGAAAATTGTTATTTATCCAAGTATCCACGGCAACTTGGATCCAGTGCCTCAAGTGAGACATGCACTAAGTGCACAGCATCTTCATGGGCTGCTCTTGGCCTCACGTAGGCTTCCACAGGCTAGAAACCGTAAGACGCTACTCCCTGAAAGCATTCACCGTTACACAAGTGGGTAGGAAAACAGCATCTAGATTCCCAGAGTCCACCCACTTTGGGGCTAGATCTAGGAAACTGGCCCTAGTCTGATGAATGCCCATATATATCCCTAGTGTTGGGCTGGGCCAAGCCAACAAGTGATGTGGGGTGGGGGAGGAAAAGGCATTGTTTGCCTTGGTATTCGCCTGGGTTCCTCTGGCTTTGTGTCAGGTAGCAGGAGCATGACAGGAGCTGAGGAACTCATTAACACTGTGAAACAGCCTTTCCCCTTCTTTCCAAAAGCAGAGACTTGCTTAAGGGTTTCGGGTAAGGGTTTTGGCTAAGGAAGTCAGACGGAAATATTTCTTAATAAGAAAGTCACCTGAGGTCTGAACTTGGTTCTGCTCCTTCCCACATGTGGGCAGGTGACCACAGCTCCTATTATTCCTATGGCCAAATACCGGCTCGGACAGAAATATTCTTCTTGCTCCTATGTAACAGGGAGACTTTCTCGTTTTTCTGAGAATATATTCATGGAAAACATAAACCAACTGTCGTCAAAGTTGCATGAAATCAGGAAATGGAGCGGCCGGGAGAAGGCTGCCATGTGGCCGGATGTTATGTATTTCTAATTAGTGCTATACATCTTTCAACAGCAAGTGTCCTTCTGCTGGGAAACACAACACACTGCCCTTGTTATTGTAACTGTCAGAGAAGTGCTTAAACAGATAATCTCCAGGAAAAGTGATAAACACGTCCCCTCTCCCACCAGTATGTGTGCGACGGTGCTGCCAAAGCAAAGCTGTGCCTGACAGCTCCAGGATGGCAAAGCATCCTCCTGCAGGAAATGGGAGTGAGGCAGGAGGGGCGGAGAGGGAAGAGCAGGGGATGGGAGGCAGGCCCACCTGCCTGGGCCCTCTAAGCCGAGCCAAGGGATGGTGGTTCAGAACCACTGCTTCTGATCAATTCCAGTGTTGCCATCAGGGAGAGATTTGAAGGAAACCAGTACCAGTGGGATGGAGTTTGGTTGGTCACAGAAAAATCTGGCAGCGATGGAACTATCAGAGTTCCCTTGGTGCACACAGCCAGTTTCCTGGCAAGAGCATAAGAAGAGTAATGAAGAGAAGACACAGGATGGATGACACCTAAGTCTGATGCTCTGATAGCAGCAGAGGGGATTCTGAGGGCACTGGGGTCCACGAGCCATTCCAGCCCAGAGAACCAACTATCTGCCTGGCTGCATCACTAAGAGCTGGAGAAAAACGCAGGCAAGACCACTTATTCACCAATTCCCTCCCCACTGTCTCCTCCCAAAGAAAGGAAATGAATGGTCAGTCACCTCCAAACTACCACCACCTGGAGGCAATTTGTTGGCCCTTATCTTTCCGACATAAGGCTGCTTTTCTCATGAGTCAGTTACCAGTCAGACACAAGGCTGGCACAGTTCCTAAGCAGCCCACCAAAACCTCCTTGTCTACAGGAAGTGGGCAGTGAGAGTATCTTTCAACTGCTGCTGCTTGAGCCACAGAGTTCCCCGTGGCAGCTGCTAGCTGAAGAGGAGGTAGAGGAAGCAGTCGCTGTATAGGAACGAGACAAAAACAAAATCTCAGAGCAAAAGCAGAGATGTCTTTTCATCATTTTATTCCCTGAGGAGCAGAACGAATGAGTCAGCAGAATCAGGCACTAATACACCCAAGCAAATTATTCATGCACAATGGCAAAACAGAGGCTGACTGAGTGTAAAGCAAGTCATAACATTTCCCTAAACTGATACAGCCAAGTGACATGGTGGAATATTTGTCCCCACCCAAATCTCACGTCGAATTGTAATCCCCACTGCTGGAGATGGGGCCTGGTGGGAGGTGTCTGGATGGCAGGGTGGATCCCTCAGGGCTTGGGTGCTGTCTATGTGGTAGTGGCTGAATTCTTGCAAGATCTGGTCCTTGAAAAGTAGGTGGGACTGCCCCACTCTTTGCTCCTGCTTTCGCCATGTAAAGTGCCTGCTCCCCTTTCGCCTTCTGCCATGATTGTAGCCTTCCTTAGGCCTCCCTAGAAGCCGAAATGCTTCCTGTACAACCTGCAGAACCGTAAGTCAATGAAACCTCTTTACTTTATAAATTATACAGTCTTAGGTATTTGTCTATAGCAATGCAAGAACGGCCTAATGCACCAAGACAAGACAGAAGAAGGTGGAAGGTAATTTCCTCCCTAGGAGCCCTCGCTGTCAGTGTTCCCTTTGGATTTTCTTCTAAAGCTCTTCTGAAAGTAGGGAAATATGGGGGCAAAGGAAATCCCAATCTTCTAACAAAATGACTTCTCCCATTAATTCCGAAAACACTTGAGTGCCCAATTGTGGAGGATATAAAGGAAAGTAGGATCCTGTCTGGGAGAAGAAGATAATCTAATAAGGAAGACAGGAAGAATACATACCTACTCAAGTAACTATAATTCAAGACAATGTACTACATATCATAAGGAAGATGGAAGTAAGATGTTTCTGTCACCAGAGGGAGAGGAAACCATTTCAGCTAGCATGTAACAGAGAAGGTTTCATGGTAGAGACCTTTATTTTTGAGACAGATTCTCACTCTGTCGTCTAGACTGGAGTGGTGCAGTGGTACAACTGTGGCTCAGTGCAACCTCTGCCTCCTGGGTTCAAGCGATTCTTCCGCCTCAGCCTCCCAAGTAGCTGGGATTAGAGGCACGCACAGTTTCACCATGTTGGTCAGGCTGGTCTCGAACTCTCGGACTCAAGTGATCCACCTGCCTCGGTCTCCCAAAGTGCTGGGATTACAGGCATGAGCCACCATGCTCGGCCAGAAGAGACCATTTCTAAGGTGGGCTGGAAGAGATGAACAATGATGGAGTTGGTGGATGCAGGGGGGACCACATGTACTACTTGAGGCACGCAAGTACTGTGTGTGCTGTGCTCTACCTGGAACCACAAAGTATAGGGCCTGCAATGCCAGAACAGGGAACATGAACTTGACTCAACAGTGAGGGAGCACTCACTCAATGTTCTTGGATGAAGCAATGAGTGAATATTTTATAAAGATTAATCTAGCTAAAGCATTTAGGACTAATTAGGGTAGCTGGAAAAAGGTAACAATGAGGGAGACCAGTTGGGAAGCTAAGAGAGCATGAACTTGTTTGAAGCAAGCGAAATTACATGTAAAGCACTCATAAAGTTTATAATGCCAAGTAAGGGTAACATCTTCTTATAATAGAGGTAGAAGAGGGAATGAAAAGCAGTGCACAGATATGAAAATTACCGCAGAAAGAAAATCAAAAGAGGCCAGGAATGGTGGCTTACGCCTGTAATCCCAGCACTTTGGGATGCTGAGGCAGGAGGACTGCTTGAGAGCCCAGTAGTTCAAGACCAGCCTGAGCAACAGAGTAAGACCCTGTCTCTACCAAAAGAAAAGAAAACAAAACAAAACAAAAAAAAAAAGAAAGAAACATCAAAAGAGGCTGGAGATAATGCTGTTGAGGGGGTACGTAGGGGTGAAGACTGCTGGAGCAGGTCAAAGACTCTCACGTGTATTCTCGGCAGGTTCCAGAGGATCCTGAAAACTCAAGAAGAGTAACAACTCACCAAACAAGATCCAAGTAAGGGGGAAGAAACTCAGGACTGCAAAACACCTGGAGGGAGAGAGGTATGTGTCAAGGAGTCCCCAGGCTCCCTCCCTCTTGGCTCTGGGCCAAGTCCTGTCTTTCCAGAACAAAGACACTTCAGGGGGTCAGAAATACTTGAGGAAGACCTAGCAAGAGGCGGCCTGGGAAGTCTGAACTGGTGCTCCCTGTGGAAGCCATTAGATATTCGGCACTTCATTTGTTTCCAATTCTTGTACGAGTACAGCTCCAGGCTGTGGGGTGACAGGCTCCTCTCTGACGTAATCAGGAAGCAGCTGCAAAATTAAGGAATCCCTCATGACATCATAAAAAGGGTCGATGGTTTACTGGGGAAAGTATAAAAATTAATTACATATTCCCACATGACACCCTTCCCCTAAATCTGTACACACCCTCTCCCACCTCCACACATTCTCTCATCAACAACATCCAGAAGCCACCTCAATGGACAGGGTACAAAAGGGCAAACAAAACCCAGAGAAGGTTCTTTGATGCACTCACACTGTCTGCCCACCTATTTGGAACTTAACAAGCAATACCTTGTCCTGGAATTGTTATTCATACAGTAGGTTTCCTCAACAGAATTATAAGCCCCTTGAGGGCAAGAGCTATGTCAAGACTTCACATCCTTGGAAATCAGCACCATAGAGAGGTTCAAGAAACATTTGCTGCTCATAATAGTAGGCACACTTGCCTCTCTCACTTTGGATCTAACCATGAATGACATGATTCCACTGTGGCCAGACATAATAACTAAGACATTTTGAGACCTATGTTAGGCAAACAATATTTATATATATTATCTCAAAGCTTTACAAAAGGATTGCCTGAGTATTATTCTCCTTTTTGACATTTGAGGAAACAGGCTCAGAGAGACTAAATGACCTGCCCAATAACACAAGGCTAGAAAGTGCCAGAGCTGGGATCTGAATCCAGTTCTGTCTGCTCTCATGCCCACATTGTTTGCATATCTGATTTTCACACGCCCGTGACTCAAGTGTCACACTCCCACTGCTCCTCTCTCCTTTGCTATGAACATGAAAAGCTCAGACTACTCCAACCACAGTGCTGCACAAAGAGCTCAGAGATGATGACTGTGTGGAAGCCAAAATGAAAAACATGCCATCGTTTACAATAGTGACAAAGAAAATGAAATATTCAGGTATAAGTCTAACAGAACGTACGGAAACGCTATGCTAAAAATCTGAAAATGCTGATGAAAATCAAAGACAAAGCCAGGCATGGTGACTCAACGCCTGTAAACCCAGCACTTCAGGAAGCTGAAGCGGGCAGATCACCTGAGATCAGGAGTTCGAGACCAGCCTGGCCAACATGGTGAAACCCTGTTTCTACTAAAAATACAAAAATTAGCTGGGCGTGGCGGCGCGTGCCTGTAATCCCAGCTACTCGGGAGGCTGAGGCAGGAGCAGGGGAATCACTTGAACCCAGGAGGCGGAGGTTGCAGTGAGCCGAGAATGCGTCATTGCGCTTCAGCCTGGGTGACAAACTCTGTCTCAAAAAAACAAAACCCAGAAAATAAAAGACAACCTAAAAACTGGGGAGAGTTACCATGTTCATGAACTGAGCAACTCAGCATTGTAGAGATGCCAGTTAATTGTTTAACGCAATTGCTATCAAAATCTTAGGAAGGTTTTATGTAGACAATAGATCTATAGGTTTAACGCAACAGCTATCAAAATCTCAGGAACGTTTCACGTAGATAAAGACAAGCTTATTCTAAAGCTTATCTGGAAAAGCAAAGGATGTAGAACATTTCAAACAATTCTGAAAAAGAATAAAGCGGGAGAAATCGTTCTCCCTGATGTTAAGTTAATGAAGAAAGGGGCCGGGCATGGTGGTTCATGCCTATAATCTCAGCAATCTGGGGGACCAAGGCAGGACTGCTTGAGATCAGGAGTTTGAGACTAACGTAAACAACATAGCAAGACCCCACCTCTTCTAAAATAAAATTAAAAGGAGGAATATCTTTTCAACAAATGGTACTGAAGCAATTAGACATCTGTATGCAAAAAAACAAAGCAATAAAACCTTGACCTAACTTTCACACTTATACAAAAATTATCTCATAATAGATCGAAGACTTATATATAAAACATAGGACCATAAAACTCTTAGAAAAAAATGGAAGAAAATCTTCAGGACCTAGGACTAAGAGTTCTAAGACTTAATGCCAAAAGTACAATCCATAAAAGGAAAAACTGATATACTGGATTTCATAAAAATTAAAAACTTTTGCACTGCAAAAGACCCTGTAAAAAGATGAAAAGGCAAATGATAGGCTAGGAAAATCTGTTTGTAAACCACATATCTGCCGAAGAACTAGTAACCAGATTACATATAAAACTCTTAAAACCTGGCCAGGCGCGGTGGCTCACGCCTATAATTCCAGCACGCTGGGAGGCCAAGGTGGGAGAATTGCTTGAGCCCAGGAGTCTGAGACCAGCCCTGGCAACATAGCAAGACTGTGTCTCTAAAAAAAAAAAAATTTAATTAGCTGGATGTGGTAACATTTGCCTGTAGTCCCAGCTACTTGGGAGGCAGAAGTGGGAGGATCACTTGAGCCTGGGAGGTCAAGGCTGCAGTGACCCGTGACAGTGCCGCTGCACTCCAGCCTGGGTGACAGAGACCCTGTCTCAAAAAAAACAACACATAAAGAAAAATAAACACAAACCAAAAAACAAAAAACCTCTCAAAACTTAACAGTAAGAAAACAACAATACATTTAGAAAATGGGCAAAAAAAAAGACAAACCAGATATTTCATCAAAGAGGATATACAAATAGAAAATAAGCACAAGCAAAGATGTTCAATATAATTAGCCATTAGGGAAATGGAAAATAAAACTACAGTGAGATCTCATTACATATCTATCAGAATGGCTAAAATAAAAAACAGTACCACCACCAAATATTGGTAAGGATGCTGGGAAATTGGATCACATGTACGTTGCTGATGGAATGTAAAATGGTATAGCTGCTCTGGAAAATAGTTTGGCAGTTTCTTCTAAAACTAAAAATGCACTTATGATATGATCCAGCAATTGAACTCTGGGGCTTTATCCTGAAGAAATGAAAACTTACGTTTAGAAAAAAAACCAGTATATAAATGTTCATAGCAGCTTTATTCATAATGGCCCCAAACTAGAAACAACCCAAATGTCTTTCCACAGGTGAATGGTTAAACAACTGTGGAATATCCGTACCAGGGAATACAGGGAATACTACTCAGCAATAAAAAGGAATGAACAACCAATACGTGCAGTGAGTTGGACAGACTCCAGGAAATTACGCTTAGTGAAAAGCCAGCTTCAAAAGGTTATATACTGTACAATCCCATCTATATAATATTCTTGAAATAATATATTTATAGAGATGGAAAACAGATTAGTGGTTGCCAGGGGTTAGGATTGGGGGCTGAAAGGCGGTAGGGATGGTTCTAAAGCATAGAGCAGGAAGGAGCTTTGAGTGTTGGGAAAGTTCTGCATCTTGATTATAGTAATAGTTACATGAAGCTACATGTGTGATAAAATTGCACAGAACCCCACACACACACGCACACAAGTGCAAGATAACTTGTGAAATCTGATTAAAGTCAGTGGATACCAATGTCAGTTTCACGATGTTGATATATACTAAAGCTATGCAAGACATGAAAAATGGGGAAGGACGGGTGAAGGGTGCATAAGACCTCTCTGTACATTTTTAAAACAACTTCCTGTGAATCTATAATTATTTCAAAATAAAAAGCTTTAAACAAGTAAACACAACAAAAAAAGTAAACCCAAGTAAAACCGAAGAAGATCTGACACAGCATTCCAGAAAGTTTTACACAGAAAAGGGTTACTCAGTCACTTGGGGGATACTTTCTCAATTAACAGTAGCTGATTACCCTGTCCAGATGCTGGAGCCCCTTGTTCTCATCTTCTGCTGCCTGGCCTGAGCTGGTGGAGATGCCCAGTTGCGGCTCCTCACCAGCTTACACAAGAAACTGTCAGGGGCAACCAGAAGGAAAATAAAATAAAATTAAAAAAAAAAAAAAAAAAAAAAAAGAAAAGTTCACTGAAGACAGAACTTCTGTCTAAAGAATAAGGAGTATAGCAAGAGAACGTCATCGTCAAGGCCGTGAATCACTGGATCAGTAAATTCCACAGCAAGCAGCACAAGATGAAGGTGATGAGAAAGTGAAGAAAGATGACGAATGAATTGCAGAAACTGAGCGAGCAGTTAAAAAATGTTCTTGCTTCTCAAAAATAAGGTACACATCTCAAACCAATGGTATGCACATTCTTCAAGAAAGGGCAGTCAGAGGAAAAAGCGGCTTCAAACATGAGTCTGAGTACTGTTTTCTTCATAAAGGAAACTACTTAGGCATTTTTGGTGTTGCTTTGGATTATCAATCAGATGGATATTAAGGTATTTATTTTTGGCCAGGCATGGTGGCTCATGCTTATAATCCCAGCACTTTGGGAGGCTGAGGTGGGAGCATCACTTGAGCCCAGGAATTCGAGACCAGCCTAGGCAATACAGTGTGAGACCCAGGAGGTTGAGGCTGCAGTATTGTGGAGTGATTATGTCACTGCACTCCAGCCTGGGTGACAGACCAAGACCCTGTCTCAAAAAAATAAATAAAAATAAATAAATAAATAAATAAATAAAAATAAAAAAGATTTAATTTTGATTTAAAAAAATATTTTTGTAGGCCAGGCACAGTGGCTCACACCTGTAATCCCAGCGCTTTGAGAGGCTGAGGCGGATGATCACTTGAGGCCAGGAATTCGAGACCAGCCTGTGGGCCACCGTGGCGAAACCCCATCTCTACAAAAAATACAAAAATTAGCCGGGTGTGGTGGCGTGTGCCTGTAGTCCCAGCTACTTGGGAGGCTGAGGCAGGAGAATCGCTTGAACCCGGGAGGCGGGGTTGCAGTGAACTGAGATTGTGCCACCGCACTCCAGCTTGGGTAAGAGAGCACGATTCTGTCTCAAAAAACAAAGGTTTGTTTTTTTTGTTTGTTTTGAGATGGAGTCTCACTCTGTCACCCAGGCTGGAGTGTAGTGGTACAATCTTAGCTCACTGTAACCTCTGCCTCCCGGGTTCAAGCGATTCTCCTGCCTCAGCCTCCCGAGTAGCTGGAATTACAAGTGCCCACCACCACACCCAGCTACTTTTTGTATTTTTATTAGAGATGGGTTTCGCTATGTTGGCTAGGCTGGTCTTGAACTCCTGACCTCAAGTGATCCACCCACCTCGACCTCCCAAACTGTTGGGATTACAGGAGTGAGCCACCGTGCCTGGACAAAAAAAACTTTTTGTTTTTTTTAAGTGCCAGCAGTAAATGAATTTTATTTTAGGTAAACTTTGCTGAAAAGTGGAGACTAAAAGGGATTCAACCTGCATATACCTTTTTTAAAAACGTGAATTTAAGCCCTGTATTCCTTATTTTTTTTAATTATACTCTAAGTTCCAGGGTACATGTGCACAACGTGCAGGTTTGTCACATATGTATACATGTGCCATGTTGGTGTGCTGCACCCATCAACTCGTCATTTACATTGGGTGTATCTCCTAATGCTATCCCTCCCCTTCCCCCAAACCCACGACAGAAAAAAAAAAAAAACTTTTTGTAGAGACAGGGTCTTGTTTTGTTGACCAAGCTGGTCTCAAACTCCTGGCCTCAAGTGATCCTCCTGTCTCAGCCTCCCAAAGTGCAAGAATTAGAGGCATGAGCCACTGCACCTAGCCCTAGATATATACAAACAGACACACATACACACAATTTAATTTAATTTTATTTATTTATGAATGAGACAGGCTCTCGCTCTGTTGCCCAGGGTGGAGTGCAGTGGCGCAATCATAGCTCACTGTAGCCTCAACTTTCCAGGTTCAAGCAATCCTCCCACCTCGGCCTCCCAACCTCCTGGTCTCAAATTCCTGAACTCAAGTGATCCTCCGGCCTTGAACTCCCAAAGTGCTGGGATTACAGGTGTGAACCACCACACCCGGCCCATTATTTATTTTTTAATTGGCAGCATCAACTGCAATACTCTGATAAATAGCCCCTTTGCCAATGTATCTGTAATTACAAATCAAACATTTTCTAAAAAGTAGGTGATTTTATCAGAATCAAACATGTTTGCTTTTCAAAAGACAAAATGAAAAGGAAAGCTACAGAAAATTATCTCACTGGGAGAAAATAATTGTAAAAGATACATCTGACAAAGGACTCAGAACTGAGGTATATAAAGAACTCTTTCAACTCAGCAAAATAAATAAAAAATTGGGCAAAGAAGATATATGGATGGCAAGTAGGTACATGAAAAGATGCTCAACATTACTAATCATTAGGGAAATGCAGATCAAAATCACACATACAACTCCATACCCAACAGCATGGCAATAATAAAACAGATGGATGAACAATAACAAGCATTGGAGAGGATATCAAGTAACTGAAATTCTCACACACTGCTTTAACAATGTTAAATGAGACCGGGGCACAGTGACTCACACCTGTAACCCCAGCACTTTAGAAGGCTGAGGTGTGTGGATGGCTTGCGGTCAGGAGTTCGAGACTGGCCTGATCAACATGGTGAAACCCCATCTCTATTAAAAACACAAAAAATATTGGGCGTGGTGGCAGGCACTGTAATGCCAACTACGCAGGAGAATAGCTTGAACCTGGGAGGTGGAGGTTGTAGTGAGCCGAGACCACGCCACTGCACTACAGCCTGGGTGACAAAGTGAGACTTGATTCAAAAAAAAAAAAAAAAGTTAAATAATATAACCACTTTGGCAGTATCTTAAAAAGTTAAACACCAGGCTGGGTGCGGTGGCTCATGGCTGTAATCTCAGCACTTTGGGAGGCCAAGGTGGGTGGATCACTTGAGGCCAGGAGTTCGAGACTAGCCTGGCAAACATGGTGAAACCCCATCTCTACTAAAAATACAAAAATCAGCCGGGCATGGTGGCAGGTGCCTGTAATCCCAGCTACTTGGGAGGCTGAGGCAGGAGAATCGCTTGAACCCAGAAGGTGGAGGTTGTAGTGAGCTGAGATCATGCCGCTGCACTCCAGCTGGGGCAAGAGAGCGAGACTCCATCTCAAAGGAAAAAAAAAAGTTAAGTACCAAACGACCCAGCTATATCACTCACAGGTATTTACTCCCTAAAAATGAAAGCATACATGCACGCAAAGAATGTTCATAGCAGTTTTACTCATGAAGGTTAAAAACTGGAGGAGAAAACACCAAATATCCATCAACAAGTGAATGGATAAATAAATTGTGGTATATCCACACAGTGAGGACTATTCAACAATAAAAAGGAATAAACTACTTAATCATTCGAATGTCAAAAACAGACTCACACCTGTAATCCTAGCACTTTGGGAAGCCAAGAGGAGAGGATCACATGAGCCCAAGAGTTTGAGACCAGCCTGAGCAACACAGTGAGACCCTACCTCTAGCAGAAAAAAATAAAAAATTAGCCTGCAGTGGTGGCAGGTGCCTATAGTCTCAGCTATTTAGGAGGCTAAGGCAGGAAGATCACTTGAGCCCGGAAGTTCAAGGCTACAGTGAACTAAGAACATATCACTGCTTTCCAGCCTGGGTGATAGAGCAAGACTGTGTCTGAAAAAGGAAAAAAAAAAATAGAGTAATGACATTTAGAAACACATTAGTCTGACCCTTCACTTGAACTGTTAAGAGTTCATAACTGGAGGCTAATTTGATAAAGAAAAGTAGACATACATGAGTACCCAGTAGGTAACAAAGCCTTGGACAAGGTGTTTTGCGTATTTTATCTAACACTCAGAAAACCCCTGAGAATTGGCACTGATAACCTGCTTTATGAACAAAGAAACTCAACCTCAGAGACGGTAAGTAAACTTTCGTCATCAAGGTCACACAGCTGGCAAGTGGCTGAGTAGAGAATTCTCGCCCTCCATCAGGTTGATTCCAAAGCTCTGTACAGCATTACCACACAGCTGCTGCCTTCTGCAGGTGAGACAATGATCTCCAGAAGTGCTAGGCCCCCTCCAGAGGACACCCTGGCTTTCCCTTCTTCTTTATATAGGACTCCAGGGCCAAGAAATGTCCTGGGGGCTCTATCAATACATCTTGGCAAGAAAGACAGCAAACCATCTACTCTCTACAAGAAAAAATGAAAACACTTCTAAATGGGTGCTTCCCTTGTTCCAGGAAATACCCATGCAGTTTCAGAAATGGTACTCCAATAGATTTCCTGGAAAATAAATAAATAAGTAAGTTGCCAGTCAAAACACACTTTGGCCATTTCCACCTTAGTTGTGTCTCTGGATTGATATTTTTGTTACTTACAGGTTACTGTCTGAGCCCAGAGTTATTCAATACACATCCCCTCTTGGGCAGGACAGAGCTGCTGCCAGCAGAATAGCATGCTGGCACTGGACGAGTCCCTTAGTAATGGGGCCCAGGAGAACGAGGGCCTGCCATTCCAGCATCTCATTTGGAAGAGTTACAAGCAGATCTTGCAGGACAGAGTTTCTGCTTCTACACTGCTTGCCAGACGTTTTGGGAAGCTTGCCTCTCTCCCAGTATTTGAGGAAAAGCAAAGGAAGAGTAGAAAAGCATGGCAGGTCTTTAATTAAACAAGACAGGTAGTCCCTATGGAATCCCATACAGCAGATATGAGGTGTCCTGTGTCAAAAGTTATTTAAGGTTGTGGAGGAGAAGTGATATGAAAGAGGCTTCCTAAGAGGCATACCCATTAGCCAATCTAGAAGGAAGTTTTCCTGTTAACAGTCAGGAGGGAGAAATATAGCTATATCACTTTTAATAAAGCAAGGAGAGATTTGGCTGCTGATTCAGACACACACCTTGAAACCCACCTCTGCTGGCGTGAAGCTTCAGGAGCACTTTGAGCCAGAAGTAAAAATTAGGGAGGGATAATGCCTGCAGACACCCTGATTCAGAGAAACTCCATTGACAGGGCAGGCAGAGGGGCAGGGAAGTGTTCTGCTTCCATTTTTACAAATTAACTCAATTTCTTTTCATTCTGTGGCTTCCTGAACGATTTTTTTTAAGAGATGGGGTCTTGCTCTGTTGCCCAGGCTGGAGTTGAGTGGCATGGTCATAGCTCACCACAGCCTTGACCTCTCAGGCTCAAGCAATCCTCCCACCTCAGCCTCTGAAGTAACTGGGACCACAGGCATGTGCCACCATGCCCAGCTAAGGATTTTTAAAAGTCTGACAGTGTTTGTAAACAACGCCAAAAATAAAACAATTCCGAGATAGGTGAGACAGAAAGGTACCTAGAATAAAAAGGACCTCTTGGAGGCCTTCTGAGAAGTTAGCTTTTTCAGGAAGCTTCCAGAATGTAAAGATTAGAGTCATCAAACAAACTTTGAGGGGTCAGTACTGAAAAATAAGACCAATGATAAGGCACAATTTTTTGGTGGTTACCTTGTGAATATCCAGATCTGCACATTCATTTGACTCTGCTCCAGAAACTCATCCCAAAATGGTTCCTCAAGGCCTCAGAATCCATGATCAATGTCCAAACCAAACTGCGAACGTAATGACTTCATCCAACCCCACCCACTGTGGTGCATCTAGTTTTAAAGTAGAGGTCAGGAGAATAATAAGCTAGATAAAGCAGTTATGCCAAGGAAGGAAGTGAGAAAGCAGCAATGAATGAAGGTGACTAGAAATGTGCTAAGGTGCCAGCTAGTCTCCTGACCTAGAAGCTGTGGAATCGACATACCTTTTAATAATAATGCTTCCAGCTGGGCATGGTGGCTCACGCCTATAATTCCAACACTTTGGGATGCGAGGTAGGCGAATCACTTAAGCTCAGGAGTTCCTGGCCAGCCTAGGCAACGTGGCAAAACCTCACCTCTATTAAAAATACAAAAATGAGCCAGACGTAGTGGCACGTGCCTATAACCCCAGCTAATCAGGAGGCTTAGGAAGGAAGATCGCTTCAGCCTGGGAGGCAAAAGTTGCAGTGAGCTGAGATCATGCCACTACACTCCAGCCTGGGCAACAGAGTAAAACTCTGCCTTAATAGTAACATAGCCCTTCCAAATTTGTACTCAGTTGCTGGACTGGTCAATTTGTCAATACACTTACCGAAACCAATATACATTGTTTGAAACCTGTATGTATCTAGTTTTTGGTTTTTTTTCTGAGACTGAGTCTCGCTTTGTCACCCAGGCTGGAGTGCAATGGCGCGATCTCAGCTCACTGCAACCTCCGCGTCCCAGGATCAAGCGATTCTCCTGCATCAGCCTCCCAAGTAGCTGGGATTACAGGTGCTCACCACCATGTCTGGCTAATTTTTGTATTTTTAGTAGAAATTGAGTTTCACCATGTTGGCCAGCCTGGTCTCGAACCCCTGACCTCAAGTGATCCGTCCATCTTGCTGGGATTACAGCAATTACTCCCAAATTGCTGGGATTACAGGCGTGAGCCACCACGCCTGGCCTGTATCTAATTTTAAACTAGATTAAAATTTTTTATATTTACTCTTTTATACCACAATTCACAAAAGATTTGTGACAACTTACAGCAAAATCACATAAAATGAGATAACATTAAAGTAGATTAGAGAATCAAGACCAAGAAAAAGGTAAAAATGTCAATCACATGGATTAACAGCCTACCATAAACGGACTTAAAATTTGACTTAAAATTTCCTGTCAGGCAAAGCAAAAGAGGAAACACCAATAACTGTATAGTTCTCATTATTAGAAAGGAATAAGTATATCAATTCTTCAGGAAAAACAACTCCTTTTTCTCAGCACTGAGTTCTAAAATAACTTTTTAAAGCATGGACTCTATGCAAGAGATAGTATATGAAAAAAGTGAACAATAACCTTACAGATATATAGATAAATATATATGTGTATATATATTTTTTTTCTTCCCAGACAGATGCTAGCTCTGTCACCCAGGTTGCAGTACAGTGCCGCAATCTCAGCTCACTGCAACCTCTGCCTCCCGAGCTCAAGCAATTCCCGTGCCTCAGCCTCTTGAGTAGCTGGGACTACAGATGTGTGCCACCATGTCTGGCTAATTTTTATATTTTTAGTAGAGGTGGCATTTAACCATGTTGGCCAGGCTGGTCTCAAACTCCTGACCTCAACTGATCCACCCGCCTTGGCCTCCCAAAGTGCTGGGATCATAGGCGTGAGCAATTGCACCCAGCCTGAAAATATTTTTTATAACACACAGCCTCTTATCACATGCTGTTAAAAGATACCCCAAAAATAGTATCCTAAAGTTATCTATATGGTGAAACAAAATACATATATATATAAAATTCTAAAAATATTTTTCCAAAACCCATATATAGGAATAAGTTACATATTCATAGATACATGGTGTTTTAAGAAGCTCTATAGGCCAGATGCAGTGGCTCATGCCTATTAACCCCAGCACTTTGGGAGGCCGAGGCTGGAGAATCACTTGAGTCCAGCCTGGGCAACATAGTGAGACCCCATCTCTACAAAAAAAATAAATAAATAAAATTAGTTGGGCAAGGTGGCATGCTCCTGTAGTTCCAGCTACTCACGAGGCTGAGGTAGGAGGATCACTTGAACCCAGGAGTTCAAGGCTGCGGTGAGCTATAATCACACCACTGCACTCTGGCCTGGGCAACAAAGCAAGATCTTGTCTCTAAAAAAAATAATAAAATTTGGCGGGGAGCAGTGGCTCATGCCTGTAATCACAGCACTTTAGGAGGCCAAGGCAGGCGGATTGCCTGAGGTCAGGAGTTCAAGACCAGAGGCCAGCCTGACCAACATGGTGAAACCCCCTCTCTACTACAAGTACAAAAATTAGCTGGATGTGGTGGTGCATGCCTGTAATCCCAGCTACTTGGAAGGCTGAGGCAGGAGAATTGCTTGAACCCTGAAGGCGGAGGTCACAGTGAACTGAAACTGTGCCAGTACACTCCAGCCTGGGCAACAGAGTGAGACACCTTCTCAAATAATAATAATAATAACGATAATGATAATAATAAAACAAATAAAGATGAAAGTAAAATATTTTTTAAAAAGATCTATAAAACTAAATTAAAATAACAATAGGTCAGGCACGGTGGCTCATGCCTATAATCCCAGCACTTTGGGAAGCCGGGGCAGGCAGATCACTTGAGGCCAGCAGTTCAAGACCATGCTGGCCAACATGGTGAAATCTTGTCTCTACTAAAAATCCAAAAAAAAAAAAAAAAAAAAAAATAGCAGGCATGGTGGTACATGCCTATAATCCTAGCTACTCAGGACACTGAGGCATGAGAATCACTTGAACTCAGGAAGCAGTGAGCCGAGGCCGAGATGGTGCCACTGCACTCCAACCTGGGCAACAGAGCAAGACTGTGACTCAAAAAAACAAAACACAACAAACAAAAAACCCCACTAAATTAGAAAATGATCAGTTTTATTTCAAAATTATCCATGATGGGTTTCTTTAAATAGAGGGATACCTGCTATCTAATGCAGTTGTTTAGTCAACATTCTGTACATGACACCTCTGACTAAGGGTCAGAGAAACCCAAATGCAAAAATGCTTTACAGCTGATCATGAACGATCCATCCAGAATGAGGAATGAAGAACTCTAAAGTCCTAAAGAAAAACTCTAGATAAATGAGAAAGTGACATACACTAGAAAAGATTGTTTTAAAAAGATCAATGATATATTAAAATATCTATAATTAAATATATACATATATAAACACAAATGTATGGATATAAAGGGGGAATTGTCTAGATTGTAAAATTTAATTTAGGCACATTTTTGGAATATTTCTACAACAAAAAGTATAACAGTATGCTATAAAGCAAGGGGATTTAAAAGCTACATTTATATTTTAACACTGGTAGCGAGAACAAAGCTCCATAAATGTGGGATTAGCAACCCCCTGCCAAACAGACAGTTTTTAAAGCACCAGTTCAACTTTATTTTCTTGGTGAGACTTCCTCCATTTAGAGGATAGAACTGACCTGCTTCTGCCTGGCTCAAAAGACCTAACAGGTTTATTTATAGACCACTGCCTTGCTTCTTTAAAAGGGCCCCACACTTGCCGGGTGCGGTGGCTCATGCCTGTAATCCAAGCACTTTGGGAGGTCGAGGTGGGAGGATGGCTTAAGCCCAGGAGTTTGAGGCTGCAGTGAGCAATGTTCGTGCCACCGCACTCCAGCCTGGGCGACAGAGGGAGACCGTGTCTCTCTAAAATAAATAAATAAATAAAGGGTCCCACATCAAAAGATGGTGAATGACCACAGTCAAGAGACAAAATAGCAAACCTGCCTCCACACTCCTGAATGGCCATTCTCCTACCCCCACTCTCCACAGTTTACGTCTTTCCTCTCCCTTGCCTAAGTCGTTCCTTCAAGATCCAGCATGTTATCAGACCTGTACTACAGGCCTCCTCCTCTGGATTCTGGCAGTATTTCTACCTGTAGAAATACTGTAACACTCACCAGGTATGTGGGCTCACAGCTGTCCTCGTACAGGATTTACAATTCACCAAGCTGCCCCACTAGCCTAGAAATCCCAACAGGGAGGGGTCCACAGCGCAGACCCCACCAAATCTGAAGTGCTTACTGCAGCGCCTGGGTGTTGAAGCTGATCTGAACGGTACTTCACATGGTGCTGAACCAATTCGTTTCTTTATATTCACACAGTCAGCATTCACCAAGTGGCTACTACAAGTAAGGATCTGTGCTGGGCACTTAGTTTTTGAAGATGAATCAGACATAAACTGGACCTTCAAGGAGCTGAAGTCTAACAGGACTTGCTTATGCTATCAACTATAAATCAAAGAAGAAAGTGAAAAATCTCTTAAGAAGTTTAAAGAGGCATGAAATGACGTGAATGATGAAACTCACTGTTGATATAGTTTGGACAGAAAAAGGTTGCAAACATGAATATAAAACCACTAAAATTATGGTACACACGTATCGTGGGATAGATAGCCGTTAAAAAGCGTAACATGTCCAGGTGCGGTGGCTCATGCCTGTAACCCCAGCACTTTGGGAGGCTGAAGTGGGTGGGTTGCCTGAGCTCAGGAATTCAAGACCAGCCTGGGCAACAAAGTGAGACTCCATCAAAATTAGCTGGGCATGGTAGCATGTGTCTGTGGTCCCAGATACTGGGGAGGTGAGGTAGGAGGATGGGTTAAGCCCAGGAGGAGGAGCTTGCAGTGAGCCGAGATCACACCACTGCATTCCAACCTGGATGACAGAGGGAAACCTTGTCTCAAAAAAACAAAACAAAACAAGAGAGTAAGATGTAAGACAGCTCTATTTGTTTTCTGGTTTTGTATTGAGATGGAGTCTCCCCTCTACTGCCTAGGCTGGAGTGCAATGGTGCCATCTCAGCTCACTGCAACCTCTGTCTCCCGGGTTTAAGAGATCAGCCTCCCAAGTAGCTGGGATTACACGTGCACGCCACCATGCCCAGCTAAAAATTTTTTTTTTGAGGTGGAGTCTTGCTCTGTTGCCCAGGCCAGAGTGCAGTAGCACGATCTCGGCTCTGCAACCTCCACCTCCCAGGTTCAAGCGATTCTCCTGCCTCAGCCTCCTGAGTAGCTGGGACTACAGGTGTGTGTCACCACGCCCCGGCTAACTTTTGTATTTTTAGTAGAGATGGGGTTTCACCATGTTGGCCAGGCTGGTCTTGAACTCCTGGCCTCACGTGATCTGCCCACCTTGGCCTCCCAAACTGCTAGGATTACAGGCATGAGCCACTGCACCCAATCTAAATTTTTGTATTTTTAGTAGAGAAGGAGTTTCACCATGTTGGCCAGCCTGGTCTCGAACTCCTGACCTTAATGACCCACCTGCCTTAGCCTCCCAAAGTGCTGGGATTACAGGCGTGAGGCACCGTGCCCAGCCAAGATAGCTCTATTTGTAAAAATATATGTATACAAAAGTGACACAACAATTAAAGCTACCATTTACTGAACCCTTACTATATGCCAGGCAGGGAAGAGGGTCAGAGAGGCAAGCAATACACAGAAAACAGGTACAGAAAGAGGCCTTCACTGAGACCTTCACTGAGACTTGATCTCAGCTAAAGAAAGGCACTTCCCCCAAATCACCGCACCTTCCCAGGTAACCTACATCCAACTACTTGGTGGGGAGAGAGAGGGGGTATAAAGACTCAGCCCCTTTGACCCAATTTGGGAGTACTTGGAAAGGTTAGCCTAGGTCCAGAGCTCCTTGCTGGACTGGGTAAGCCCTTTGTTATAGCTGCAACACAGTTCAATTTCTCCCTCTGCCCCAATCCAGCTTCCTGCATGCAAATATCCATCTTCACAGTCTGCTTCCTGGGGGGAACTTGACAAGTGAGGGAGAGGATGAACCGTTTTCTTTTCTTTTCTTTTTTTTTTTTTTTTAAGAGATGGGGTCTCATTATGTTGCCCAGTTTGGCCTCAAACTTCTGGGCTCAAGCGATCTTCTTTCCTCAGCCTCTTGAGTAGCTGGGACTACTGGTGTGCATTACTGCAAACCAGCTATGGATGAGTCAATTTTGAATAAACTTGCGATTCCAGGTGAAAATATAGAACAAAAAGTTAGAAATGTGGGCCAAAGTTCATGAAAAAGATCAGGGCAGTAAAGAAATTTTGCGAGGGTGCACAGAGATGACAGTTGAAACGACAAGATTTTACAATACACCAATGGGGAAAGAGAAAGAGGAGGGCAAACGTAGTATCTTTAGTTAATGCTGATATACTGGATGCTGCACGAGAAAGAGGAAACCCAAGAAACAGGCAGAGAGGATGAGCAAACCGAGAGAAAACAGATACAGCATTTCTGGAAATGCTGTCTGCAGCCAACAAAGGCAAAAGCTTTAAAAAAAAATAAAATAAAAAAAAAAGCAAGCTAAGAGCTAAGAAGAAAGACACATAATGAGTGCTTAACAAACCCTTGTTAACTAACTGAGTGGGATACATGACCTGCAGGATGCTCAGCTTTTACACCTAGGTAAGCCAAGACACAGATTAGCTTCTGCTTGAGCAATCTGGAAGAAATCCCCTTCTGAAAGGCTTCTTTCAAGAGCATTCCCAAGGATCTCCTGAACAAACTGCCGGGGTACTTGAGAAGGATCACCATGCTTGACTACCAAATTCCAACCTCAGTCAAACCGATGGACTTTCAAATACATAGAACTTCCTGGAGGAGCTGGATTTTATTAAAAAAAAAAAAATAGAAAAAAGATACATAGAACATGCTATAACAGGATGTCTTAGACTGGACAACAGTTCAAAGGTGAAAGAAAAAAAGAAGTTAACAATCATAAAAAATAAGAAAAAATACATAGACAAATTCTAATACATATATATATTTTTGCTTCAGAACATTTTTTGGGAGGTAAACATTTTTAACAATAGCAACATCATTACTGACTTGAAGGAAAATAAATAACTCTTCTTAGCCTTGGCACCCTAAAGAAAATAACAAAAAGGTGTTATTTGGGCCAGGCGCGGTGGCTCACGCCTGTAATCCCAGCACTTTGGGAGGCCAAGGCAGGCGGATCATGAGGTCAGGGGATCGAGACCATCCTAGCTAACACGGTGAAACCCCGTCTCTACTAAAAACACAAAAAATTAGCCGGGCGTGGTGGTGGGCGCCTGTAGTCTCAGCTACTCGGGAGGCTGAGGCAGGAGAATGGCGTGAACCCGGGATGTGGAGCTTGCAGTGAGCCGAGATCGTGCCAGGGCACTCCAGCCTGGGAGACAGAGCGAGACTCCATCTAATTAAAAAAAAAAAAAAAAAGGGCGTTCTTTGACCTTCAGTCTTGGCTGGAATAAACAGAAAGTAGTTTACCTTCTATGCATAGACACATAGAAGGAATATACATTCTGTTACTGTGCCCAACACGGCTATGCCATATTCTTCACTGACTCACTGACCTTCCCTGTTTCCCTCTGGGTGTGGCTGGGGATCCCCACATCCACATCTCTCGCTCCAACTCTTCCTGCCCAACCTGCCAATCAAAAGCCAAGGCTCCAAGCATCACAGACTCCCCAAGAGCCAGTTTGGTTATATTTCCCACAGAGATCTGAAAACCTGCTGGAGCTCCAGAAGTCAGTACCAATTTCAAATCTGATCAGCATCTCTGAAAGTCACAGTTACCATATAGCTGAATATTTTTTCATAAATTTAATGCCAGCGTGTCTGTTTGGAAACTTTGAAAATACATGTTGTATGGTTTACTGCACTGGAAAAGGTGCCAACAGAGTTTCAAAGGAAGGGAAGTGTATAACTGTTTCCTTTCAAATGCATTTTCCAATGGGATCCATTCAGCGAAAAGGCTGGAACTAACTAAAACATTATTAAAACTGTTATGGAAAGAGACAGGGAGATGGAAAAAGATAGACCCAAAAAAGTGAAATACATAAGCAAGAGTGAGACAGACATACGAGGAAAAAGAAAGGGGATCTGGGCAGAGAGACAGGTTGGACAGGGAAATGGGGTGAGATGGAGTTTTGTCTGGCAGTTGCTGTTCGTGGTTTTATATTGCTGCAGATCAATCGATCAGGACTGCAGTGCTGCTGGCCCAGTGGCACAAGACAAACCACAGAGTTGGCTTTACGTTCGGCACTTGCGAACTGCTGACCTTCAGTTTTCAAACCAAAAATATTCTTTGGTAAACAGTAATACCAGGTTCAGTCCAACCAGTCAAGAGAAAACAAGGACTACTAACCTGAAGTAGCACCCTATTCAGTTACATCAGGCACCAACCCTTCATAGGCATCAACCGGGGATGTCTGCAAACCTGAAACCACACCCTACCAAACTAACTCCAGGTTCTGACTCAACCAACTAGGCAGTGATAACCAGGAATGCTCAAATAAGTGACATGTTTCAAAATTGGCTTAACCGGGACCTACTCAAGCGGGAAGGCCAGTCCACACTCACAGAGCCAGAAACACAGCAATGCTTTCTGAGGTCACATGTGCATGACTCCAGTGGAATCTGCATGCAATGCTCAGGGCAGGGTTTGGCGCTGCCTCACGAAGCCATTACATTTCTAGACAAAGAATTAACAGTTTGTAGTGAGTGGGTTATCTGTTATTTCTTGCTGAATTCATCTAAGCTAGCATGATGCTAAAATTTATCGCCTAAACTGGGATACTTCCGAGAGTGAAGGGGTGTGCTATGAGTAATTCATAAATAGGATCCATCCCTGGGCAAACCAGGACTTACAGTCACCCTGGCCTAAACCATAGGATCTTTTTTCTTCTCTGGGTCAGTATTATAAAACTCTACCTCAGAAGAATCTTTTCAAGAGGCAGAACTGCTCTGCTGAGTGCCAAAGCACTTTCTTTTTGAGCTCCTCCAATGGAGAGGTAAACAAATCAATTAAGTTAACTACAAAAACTAACAAGAAAGATTGAGCTGACAATCAGGATTCTGGAGAAGCTCAAAATTCCAAGCAGCAGCTTCAGAGAAGGGAAATGTGCCACAGATGGAGCTGTGGAGGCTGATCCACCCGGCCTCTCAGCGCTAGGCCCTGATGCCGCAGCCAGCTTCAAACAACAGAATGCAGGGCGGGCAGACGTTGGTGCGAGTTTGCTGAGTTCCAGGCCATCATTCTTGAGGGTGTAATAACCATGGGCTGTAGCACACATGTTGAGGGATGAGGGAAAAAAATAAACAGAGAGACAAAAGAATGAGGATGCACTGCCAATTTCAATTGTGCAGCTTTTATTTTTAAATGCTTATCAAGCTGAGAGAGAGCAGAGTTCTTGGAAAACAAGGTTTCCTTTTTTCCAATGCCAGGGTAAAACACCCTCAAGGATGGGCACTGCACAGACTGTAACAACAAGGAACGTGGCTTTGCATCCTCCCAGCAACAAAGTCTACCACGGATCCCACCCCACTCTGATTTCGGCTCAGCCGAGAACTTGAAATAACGGGCCCACTGCCTCTGGTAAAAACTGCTCTTTTAAAATTTTTTATTAATCTCCAAACTGGCTGTGTTAGAATTACAGCCCATTACCTACCAACTCTCTTCACTAATAAAATAAATTTGTAAAAGCCCTAATTACTACTTTTACTGAACTACACTGTTTGGGGATCAAGTACAGGAAGCTGAGAGTTCAACCATTTGTCAGCCAGGGGATGATGGGGAGAGGACCGGGGGACCTAGAGTCACTAGCAGGAACATAAGGCCCAGAGATAAGTCTCAGAACCCATGCCCAAAAAGAAACAAAAGGTCACTAACCCTGTTTTTGTTCTCAACAGCTCCACGAGGATCCATGCCATCATGGCACTTTGGGAGGCCTGTCACGAGTTACACAGGCCTAGGCTGCCCACACCCCAGCTCAGCAGAAAAAGAGAACTGCAATCCAAGTCAGACAGATCCTGCCTGGACTCTCCGCAGAGAGCCTGGAGAGTCTGACCAGCAAAGAAACAGCAATCTTCCTACCTACCCCACTCTCAATCCCCCCCACCCCAATCCAGGCTCCCGAAGAAGAAAAACAAACAACAACAGAGCAGGCAATTGCACAAGAGCTGCAGAGTGAAGGCGAGGTGGACGGCAACGGCTTCTCGGCTGTGCCCCGTATCTCTTCCCAGAACACTGATGACAAAGCTGGAGACGTTACTCACATGCTGAGCCAGTCAGCCCCTCACCCAGGGCTGGTGCTGAGAAGTCTGACTAGAAACCGGCAGTCAACGCTGACACACTCATTTATAATAAAAGGTGTATATTAAACAAACTAGTCAAATCCTTAAACAAAAAGTAAGGGCAAAATGTGACTGTCATTCTTAATTGTCCATGCAAAATCCTCCCGGTTAAATTCCATGTGTCTCCTGGACTTTGATAAATGTTATTTCTCCTCTCAAGAACATGAACAGAGATACCGCTGTCGAAGTAGCTCTCTTGGAAAGAAACCTGATAAGAAAACCTGCTATGGCAGGTGAGTGAAACCTGTGACGGACACCATTTTGGGGGATGACCAGACTGGAACATAATATTTCACTGAGGCAGAGGGGTCTGTGGTTACTTTCTGCATGCCACATGTCTAGCCCTAAAGAACTGAGGAATGCTCTCGACAGGAAAAACACAGCAGCCAATGCTGCGATACCAAAGCCACAACTCCACGGGGCCCTGGAGCCTCTCAAACTAAGCTGCCAGCTAGGGAGCTAACACTAGCTTTGGATAAAACACAGCTCTGGTACAGTAATTAATTTTTTTCTTAACTAGGATTACATTAATTTTCAAGGACTAATGGAGTCCAGCTGTAATGTGAAGAGTGGCTGCTGATGCACAAAGGCACTTGTGCGTACATTATAAACACACACACACGCGCGCGCACACACACACACAGACCTATAAAAAGGATCTACTATAACAGGATATTTTTAGTTTCTACAATGCTGCACTAAAAATACAGTCCCGGCTGATACATCATGGCAGAACTATTCTCTCTCTGTCCCTTCAGGAACAGTTTAAAACATTTATTTTTGTTTCCTTTTGCGATGGTCAGAGTAGAGAGAGAAAATAGCAACTCATTGATAAGAGGAAACGAGACAGACATGAAAAATTGAAAACTACCTAAAAACTCATGGAGAGGTTTATTTTATTAGTTCTTAATAAATATCTTGCAGATTTCCTCAGGAAATACACCAGATCACATGTAAAATAGTTTGATACTGATGTCAACTGCATCAACATATGAAGTCTATTAGGGTGAAGCCGCAGCAGGGTGATCAGCGTGCTGAAAAACTCCACAGTACTTGTGTGTGTGGGGGGGGATCTCACGGCCTTCCAAATTCTTCGAGAGGTAAAAAAGTCAGCCAAGACGCAGAGAGAGAAAGAGAGAGAAAAAAAGATCCCACATCCTGCTTTCAGCTGCCAGCAATGTGAAGTGCCCAGAGATTAATTCTACGTCTGGCCTGGAAATGCGACTTTAAAGCATGAGGGAGGGGAGTGAGGGTGGGTGGGGGGCGGCGAGGAGGAAAGAGGAAAGAGAAGGGCAGGCTAACCGAGGCTGGCAGCAGGCCACCAACCCCTTCCCAAGCCATGTTTCAATGCAGACAGAAGTAAACCCCTATAGACAGCAGCGCCTCAGCCTGCCAGGGCCTTACACCAGCTGCAGTGCATCTCGCGCTCTCCCTCAGCCCTGAGTGCAGATGTTCCCCGCAGCATCACTTCCGCTACACTTTCTTTTAAAGAAACAGCGCACACATAGAGGTATTTCTGCCTCTTCCCAGTAGGCAGAAATTTTTGGCCTTCAGGGATCTCGGGCAAGGTGGAAACTCAGATGGCAGGTACCACGATGGTAAAGCAGCTACCCCAATCTCCCTTGGAAGGGACCAACCAAGGTATCCAAGGAATGGGGTCAAGAGCATTAGTGAGGTAATAGGAATTTTTTTTACAGATTTGGCTTTCTACTGTCTTCAGAGGGAGAGAGAGAGGTCCCCACAGTTTGGGGCTAAGAAAAGGGGGGGAAAAAGTAGGCTGAAGATTTAAACCGTGATTTCTCAAAGCAGTCTACTGTAACATTACCATCTCAAAGGGATTCTGATGACTTCATCATCATGGAAGTCTTACAGAATTTTTTAAAAATATAATTCTAAGGTATTAACATTTTGCAAGGCACAAATACTTACCTATAAGACATAATTTTTTTAAATCAACAATCTGTTAATTTCTTATTTGCCTAAACTCTTTATACATTTTCAGACCTTAGAAAATCAATCAATCAATCACTGATTAGGCACCTAACTTTTTCAAAATTTCTGGCCCTTTTTTGTGAGAATAAGCATCTAATTTTGGAGTTAGCCTTGAACATTGTTAGGAATTTGCTAAAATATTATATAGTCTCTTGTCCCCATGGAGACATACTCTAGTTGAGGGATTTATGCATTTTATGAAGCTAAAATAATTCCATTTTCAAGATGAGCTAAATATTCCCTAATTGATCTATGAGGTTGTTAGTTCTTCTGGAATGCAGGAAGAGTTAGAAGAATCAGTAATGTCAAAATGTCAAAAAAAAACAAGACAACTGGTATACCCTCAAAACCTAAGTTGCTTCTTTTGAAATTCAAGTTCAAAATAAGAAACAGAATCTTCCTTTATGGGAAGGGGAGAAACACTGGCAATCAGTGGCGAACACATTATGGCAGGAAAGTTTAATTCAACAAACATTTATTAAATGTATTCCATCCACAAGGTACTGGACGTAGAAACAGGTTTGGAAATGGTTAAGTAATTTGCATAACACAGCAAGTAAACAATCAGAATTAGAACCTAGTTTTATCTAATTTCAAATATTTCTTTTTATCATTATAATTTTTAAAAATACATTTACACAATACATTATTACTAAAGTATTGTGATAATTTCAGAAAACTACAAAAATACAGAGAAAAAAGAAAATTTAAAACATGTTTAATTCTACCATCTTAGAGAATCATGGGTAAGTTTTGATGGATATCCATCAGTCTATTAAAATTAATATATGTATAATATATATTATTTTACCAAAATGTGATCAATTGCAAAGTTCATAACCATGAAGCCACACGGTCTTCAGGAAAAGCAGAGATCACATTTTTGGCAGCTGACCACTCCCAACCACCAGAAAACAGAAGAGTCATGGTCCAACTCTAAACTGGGCAGGATTTTTCTATTCCATCTTTACACTTCTCTCTGAACTCTTTAAAGCAAAGAAATTTAAAAATATCTCATTACCCTCTACCATCCTCCTGCACATCACCTAGAGCCCAAGACAGCCAAGTGCACTGGCTCCCCTCAGCCACCTTCCACAGTACTTCCAGAGCCAAAGAATAAACAATGAAAAGGACCGCCGGGCACGGTGGCTCACGCCTGCAATCCTGGCACTTTGGGAGGCCGAGGCGGGCAGATAACAAGGTCAGGAGATCGAGACGATCCTGGCCAACATGGTGAAACCCCGTCTCTACTAAAAATAAAAAAAATCAGCCGGGTGTGGTGGCGCACACCTGTAGTCCCAGCTACTCGGGAGGGCGAGACAGGAGAATCGCTTGAACCCGGGATGCAGAGGTTGCAGTGAGCTGAGATTGTGCCACCACACTCCAGCTTGGGCGACACAGCGAGACTCGGTCTCAAAAAACAAAAACAAAAACAAAAAAAAAAACAATGAAAAGGACCATCAGAGATGGGTAACACCTGTATTTAAATGTTTAAATGTCTGGCTGAGTATGGCACCCTGAGCCCCCACAGACAGCCTACTCTCTTGCTGTTCAGCTCAATAGAAGGTTTAATCCAAGAGCTTTTACTCCAAAAGAATGATGTGCTTCTCCCATAACATTCTGTTATGGTGCAGACAATTCATTCGTTAGTAAAAAAATAAGATAACCAAATAGGCCAGGCGCGGTGGCTCACACCTGTAATCCCAGCACTTTGGGAGGCTGAGGTGGGCAGATCACGAGGCCAGGAGATCGAGACCATCCTGGCTAACACGGTGAAATCCCGTCTCTACTAAAAATACAAAAAATTAGCCGGACACGGTGGCGGGCGCCTGTAGCCCAGCTACTCGAAGGCTGAGACAGGAGAATGGCGTGGACCCAGGGGCAGAGCTTGCAGTGAGCCTAGATCGCACCACTGCACTCCAGCCTGAGCGACAGACCGAGACTCCGTCTCAAAAAAAAAGATAACCAAATAAGGAAACCACATTCTTTCCTCCCTGTAATGGCAAACCAACAAGACTACTCACCTACATACCCATGCCAACCTTCCAAGCTTGAGCTACTCATCACCTGAGGTGCTGGCATGTCATCACCTGAGGTGAGGTGAAAGATTTAACCCTGACAATGTAGTCCATGATGACTCCAAACTTACTCACTCAGAGTGATGTATAAAAATAAGCTAGTTACCCACAGAATGCACAACACCGAGAGTGAACCCTAATGTAAACTACGAACTTTGGGTGATGATGTGTCAATACAGGTTCACTGACTGTAACAAATGTCCCACTCTGGTGTGGGATATTGATAGCGGAGAAGTTTTTATGTTGTGGGAGACAAGAGGTACATGGGAATTTTATGTATATTCTGTTCAATCTTGATGTGAACACAAAACTGCTTTAAAATGTAAAGTCTATTTTTTAAAAGGACAGGTTTTATTCTGCCATTTATTCAACAAATACATGAAGGCCTACATTGTGCCAAAGACTGTAAAAAATTTAAAATGCTTAATGCAGCCAGGCACGGTGGCTCATGCCTGTAATCCCCGCACTTTGGGAGGCGGAGGTGGGTGGATCCCCTGAGGTCAGGAGTTTGAGACCAGCCTGGCCAACAAGACAAAGCCCCATCTCTGCTAAAAATCCAAAAATTAGCCACGCGTGGTGGCGGGCACCTGTAGTCCCAGCTACATCGGAGGCTGAGGCAGGAGAATAGCTTGAACCTGGGAGGTGGAGGTTGCAGTGAGCCGAGATCGCGCCAACACACTCCAGCCTGGGCGGCAGAGCGAGACTCTGCCTCAAAAATAAAAAACAAAATAAGATAAATAAAATGCTTAATGTCTACAGGAAGGTGGTTGCTGGACATTCTCAAACACTGCTAAGAGTGTAAGCTGATACACCTTCTTCAAAAAGTAACCTAGGTCGGGTGCAGTGGCTCATGCCTGTAATCCCAGCGCATTTTGAGAGGCCAAGGTGAGAGGACTGCTTGAGCCCAGGAGTTTGAGGCCAGCCTGGGCAATATAGTGAGGCTTCATCTCTGCAAAATATTTGAAAATCAGATGGGCGTGGTAGCACGTGCCTGTAGTCCCATCTACCTGGGAGGCTGAGATGGGAGGACTGCTTGAGCCTAAGAAGAAGCTTGAGGCTGCAGTGAATGCAATGAACTATGACCACACCACTGCACTCCAGCCTAGGTGACACAGAACAAGACCCTTTATCAAAAAAAAAAAAAAAAAAGAAAAGAAAAAGAAAAAAGAAAAAATAATCTAGCATCATGTATCAAAAGTATTAAGATGCCAAAACCCCTTCACCCAACAACCAAACTTCTAAAAATATAGTATTTATTTATTTATTTGAGACAGGGTCTGGCTGTGTTTCCTAGGCTGGAATGCAATGGCATGATCTCGTCTCACTGCAACCTCCAACCCCTGGGCTTAAGCCATTCTCCCGTATAATTTTCCCAAGTAGCTGGGACTACAGACATGTACCACCACATCCAGCTAATTTTTGTATTTTTTTGTAGAGATGGGGTTTTGCCATGTTACCCAGGCTGGTCTCAAACTCCTGGGCTCAAGTGATCTGCCTGCATGATTACAGGCATGAGCCACCACGCTTGGCCTATTCTAATAAAACAACATGAAACGCAGACAAAAATTTTATGTACAGAGATGTTAATTACAGCTTTATTTATAATACTAGAAACCTGAGAAGAAAATGTTCAAAAAGAGGGTAATGATTAAATGAAAGTTAACATATTCATGTGAAGCCAAGCTCAGCGGCTCATGCCTGTAATCCCAAGACTTTGGGAGGCCGAGGAAGGAGGATCACTTGGACCCAGGAGTTTGAGACTAGCTTGGGCAACACAGTGAGACCCTGTCTCCACAAAAAATAAAAAATTAGCTGAGCGTAGTGGCATGCGCTTGTAGTCCCAGCTACTTGGGAGGCTGAGACAGGAGGATCACTTGAGCCCAAGAGTTCGAGGCTGCAGTGAGCTATGATCATGCCACTGTACTCCAGCCTGGGCAACACAGTGAATATACATAACAATAAAAACATTCATATGAGAACATGATTCAGTTTATACTAGGTTGGTACAAAAGTAATTGCACTTTTTGCCATTACTATTATTTGTATGTAAATTACAAATGTTTACAAAGAATTTTATAGCTTTGTATACTTGTAAGTAAAAATAGTAGAATCAAACATTGTATAGTCAGTATCTTTTCAACTGTGTAAAAACTCCTTGAATATTTATACATCGTATAGGAAAGAATGTCACTGCCAGAAGTTGGTTTCTACTTTACCTTTTTTAGTACTTTCAATGAAACCCAAAATGTTAAATCCTTTAAAAAAAATCATTTAGTTTTCATAAATAGGACAGAATTGCTCCAGTTAGGTGAATGTAAAAATATGATATATGAGTAGGGAAATAAAAAAGTATTTCTAGTCAGGAAGAAAGGACAGAGAGTAAAAGATGAAAGATTCAAGAGACCAGAAAGGACTGAACTTACGCTGTTCTATAGAAATTTACTTTCCAGAGCCCCAATGATATTTACTCCAGGGTTAAGAGCTGATATGGTTTGGATTGTGTCTCCACTCAAATCTCATGATGAATTGTAATTTCCAGTGCTGGAGGTGGGGCCTGGTAGGAGGTGACTGCATCCTGGGGTGGTTTCTGATGGTTTAGCACCATCCTCCTGGTGCTATCTCCTGATGGAGCTCTCGGGACATCTGGTTGTTTTAAAGTCTGTAGCCCCTCCCCCTTCACTCTCTTCCTCCTGCTCCAGCCATGGAAGACGTGCCTCCTTCCTCTTTGCCTTCCACCATGATTGTGATTCTCCTGAGGCCTCCCTAGCCATGTTTCCTGTACAGCCTGTGGAACTATGAGCCAATTAAACTTCTTTTCTTTATAAATTACCCAGCCTCAGGTATGTCTTTATGGCAGTATGAGAAAGGATTAATACAACAGTAGATACCAAAGCACATTTAATGGATTTTACTTTAATGCCAGATGTAAAATATGCATTTGGAAATTATGCTTTCAAGAAAGTCACCTTAACAAAAAACAAGGAAAGACAGTAAGATTATGAGCAGTAACCTAGTTAACAGATGCCCCTGCCCTTGCCATTCAATCTTCATTGTCCAGGCTGACCTGCTGACAGATTATTCTTTTTTTTGAGACGGAGTCTTGCAATGTTGCCCAGGCTGGAGTGCAATGGGGTGATCTCGGCTCACTGCAAGCTCCACCTCCCGGGTTAACGCCAGTCTCCTGCCTCAGCCTCCCAAGTAGCTGGGATTACTACCATGCCTGGCTAATTTTTGTATTTTTTAGTAAAGACAGGGTTTCGCCATGTTGGCCAGGCTGGTCTTGAATTCCTGAGCTCAAGTGATCCACCTGCACTGGCCTCCCAAAGAGCTGGGATTACAGACGTCGGCCACGGCACCTGGCCTCAAATTATTCTTTGACTTGAACTTGATATAACGCATGTTTACTGAGAAGTTACAACAGGTCAGGGACTGTTTTAGATGTTCACAATGTATCAGTGGATAAAACAGACCAGAGACCCCTATAAGCAGGGAGCTTACATTCTTGCAGAATAGTAGAGGAAAATAAATAATAAACATATACACATTAATTATCTAGTATTTAGAAAATAAATCAATAGAATTGGAAGATAAAGAGTGCAGGTTTGGAGTAGAATGCAGCAGTGTTAAATAGGATGGTTGGGGCAGGTCTCACAGAAGTAACATTAAGCAAAGACTTATAGGAGGCGAGGTATTCACCAGACAGATGGCTGGATGCAGAACATTCCAAACAGAGAAAACAGCTAATGCGAAGGGCCAAAGGTGGGAGAGTCCCCAGCTTAGCAGAGAACTTGCAAGAAGGGTAGTGTGGCTGAAGCAGAGTAACCAAGCCATGGGGAGAACAGTCGTGAATGAGCTCAGAGAGAGGCAATGCGGGGGCGGGGGGGGGGGGGGGGGGCAGGAGAAGAGGTCCATATATGAAGGCCTTGTAAATAATGTGGCTTTTACACTGAGTGAAATGGGAAGTCAGTGAAGGATTTTGAACACAGCAGACTCTGTATGTAATGTGTCTGTGTGTGCATGTTTGGGAAGGAACGAGAGAGGTAAGGGGTACAAAAAGAGACCACTTAGGAGTTTCAAGACTTTCTTTCCAAGTTTAAAAAGAAGTTTTATCCACAAGGGGTATTCAGGCCATGTTTGCAAACACAGGTTTTCTCTTCCAATGAGGAATATTGAAGAATGTGTCAATGGCCTACAACTGTATCCCTAGCAGGCATCTGAAAAATAATACTTACGAAACATTTTCCTCTGCTCATTGCCCTGACATGAGTTCTGGGCATCACCCTCTCTCAGGGGAGAGGTGAAAAGAGGTTATGTGGAACAGACAGTGATAACAGGATGACGTCACAGGTGTGCCTCAAAGAAGTCCCTGGTGAGCTGGGCTCATAACTACTCTGCAGTGATTTATTCGACCCTGCCAGCTCCAGCTGGAGAAGAGATGCAGAAAGCTGACACAGCCTAAAGCCCTGGGCAGGCATTATAAGATCTTTCTCCCTGCAGTCCCCTGCCAGCTCCTCCCCTCTTTCAACCACTGATCCTTGCCTCAGAAGCCAAAGTGTGAACAGCACGTGTCCGGATTTCAGAAACCTGCCCAGCAGTTGGAAATTCCCTGCAGCGTGTCAACTGCTACATCTGCTGTTGGCACTTGGGGCAAAGGGATCACACGCGCATATTTTCTGAACATAAGCTTCAAGATATGAGTCTTATATTTGAAGAGGGGACTAAACAAGCCAGAACACTCCAATTACAGTAAATGCATTCCTAAATAGACGACAATCTGCCTTCTGAAAAGGAAACTGAGACATACAAGCAAACCGAATAGCACTAAGAACAGCAGTAGTCAAGAACAAAAGCACAGAGAACCCTGACTAATGGAAAGGATTTCATGGGCCAGCAAGGTTCACCAGATATATAATGTGATGTAGCTGAAACAACAGAGTACTCTTTTCCAAATCTCTAACTCACATCTTTTTGTCAATAAATGGCTCCTATCACTTCAGCTGCAGCCTTTCCTCTCCACTCCTTTGATCTTTCTTCCCCACCCAATTAGCCCTCTAAGTGATATTCTATACACTGGACACCTCTTGGAAAAATGAAAAAATGTGAGCCCAATGACACCATTTGCCATAAGACTGAGCTGTAAATGGGCAGGAGCTGGAAAAGAAACTAATCTTTGGAAGAGCAAACTACATGCCCTTGCCACCCTGGATGTAGGTGCCCAGTCACACTGCTCATGGGCATCACAGGCAGAGCAAAAAAAAAGAAAAGAAAAGAAAGAAAGTCTGAGTAAGTCTGATGGAACAAGGAAATCCCAGCTTCCTCTGGTAGTACGGCAGACTAGACACCTAGATCCATTCTCCCAATCAAACAGCTCATTATTCTGAAAAAAAGAGTATGTTAAACATCTTTTTGAAAAGCATTCGTGAGCTAGTAAAATAAAAGAAAATCCTTTGGTCAGAGATTGAATAAAGATGGGAAACCAGATAGGTAAGTGTGGCATTACAAACAGCCTTTACCCTAAGAACATTTGCTACCTGATGAACTCGAGCTTTGCTTTCCAAGGCTGCATGGACACAGCCAAGATCCTTATCATAAAGCTAGGGTCCCACAAGGCTACACCCCAAATACACCATTTCAGATTATGGAGTCTCTAAAATGCCATGTTGAATATATTTTAGAGAAATAAAAGACAAGCTCACAAGTATATTTGGGAAATAAGAAACCATAAAGAAAGTCAAAGCAGATTTGATTTAAAAAATATATGGAAATAAAAAATTTATTAAAATTAAAAACATTGTCAATGGGGCATATTTAATAGAAGGTTAGATATAGCTATGGAAAGGTTCAATGAACTGAAAGATAGTTAAGGAAATTATCTGGAATGTAGCACAAAAAGAAGGGAGTCAGAAAAATCAAAGAAAGGTTTAAGAGACATCAAAAACTAAGCCTGATGTATGTCTTATCAGGGTCACAGAAGGAGAAGAGAAAGCATGGGGAGATGCAGTCTTTGAAAAAAGACACTAAGAGTTTTCCAAAACTGATAGGAAAACCAACCAACCAACCAACCAACCAACCAACCAACCTCATAGGTTACATGAAGCCCGACAAATACTTCGCAGGAATAATTTTTAAAAATCCAAACCTAGACCAATCACCAAAACTGTGGAACATCAAAGATTTTAAAAAGACCTGGAAAGCACCTAGAGAGAAAAGACAGGCTGCTTTCAAAAGAGAAACAAAACAGATAGCTGACTTTAATCAACAACAGTGAAAGCCCAAAGATGTAGTAACCTATCTTCAATGGGCTGAGCAAAAGTAACTGTTAGGCTAGAATTCTATTACTGGAATAAGGGTAAAATAAAGCATTTTCAGACAAATAAAAAAATGAAGAATATTTGCCTTCAAAAGAACTTCACTAAATACATTCTAAATATAAATAGTATACTTCAGGCAGAAAGAAAATGATCCCAGATAGAGGGTCTGAAATGCAAAAGTGAATTTAACAGTAAATATACAGGTGAGTTAAGGCCAGGCGCAGTGGCTCACACCTGTAATCCCAGCACTTTGGGAGGCTGAGGTGGGGAGATCACTTGAGGTCAGGAGTTCGAGACCAACCTGGCCAACAAGGTGAACTCCATCTTTACTAAAAATACAAAAAAAAGAAAAAAAGAAAAAAAAAAAAAGAAAAAGCTGGGTGTGGTCATGCCCTTGTAATCCCAGCTACTCAGGAGGCTGAGGTACAAAAACTGCTTGAACCTGTGAGGCAGAGGTTGCAATGAGCCAACACTGCACCACTGCACTCCAGCCTGGGTGACAGAGTGAGCCTCTGCCTCAAAAAATATAGGTGCGTTTGAACAAATATTTACTGTCAAAATAATAATTAAAAAACCAAATAAATCAAACCAAAAATAACGATAACTTGTTTTATAGGGTTTAAAAGGAAAAAAGAATATACATGACAACGATGGCATGCAAATTGGGAAAATAAATTTAATAAATAAAATTTTAAGTTTTTCTGTGGTTCTTATATTGTTTAAGAGGAGAATGGAAATCTGATTAACTTTTGATTTTGGCAAGGTGAAGTATGCATGCTTTAATTCCTAGGGTAACCCTAAAAGAAAAGAAGACTAGTGCTGGGGGTAAGGAGTAGGGGCACGACGACAACGGTGGAATGGAAACAATAATCCATCCAAAAGAAGACAGAAGAAAAAGAGAAACAGAAGAGACAGGAGAATGAGAAAGCACCCGGAGAAAATTTCTGCAAAATATAAATCGGATAAGGGCTTATGTCCAGGTTATAGAGAGAACTCTTAAGACGTAATAATAAAGACAAACAACTTGATAAAAAAACAAGTGGGCACTTTGGGAGGCTGAGGCAGGCGGATCGCCTGAGGTCGGGAGTTCAAGACCAGCCTGACCAACATGGAGAAACCCTGTTTCTACTAAAAATACAAAATTAGCTGGGTGTGGTGGCGCATGCCTGTAATCCCAGCTACTAGGGAGGCTGAGGCAGAAGAATTGCTTGAACTAGAGAGACAGAGGTTGCAGTGAGCCAAGATCATGCCATTGCACTCCAGCCTAGGAAACAAGAGTGAAACTCCGTCTCAAAAAAAAAAGAAAAAAGAAAAAAAAGAGCCGGGCGTAGTGGCTCCTGTAATCCCAGGACTCTGGGAGGCCAAAGTGGGTGGATCACGAGGTCAGAAGTTTGAGACCAGTCTGGCCAACACAGTGAAACCCCGTCTTACTAAATATACAAAAAATTAGCCGGGTGTGGTGGTGTGTGCCTGTAATCCCAGCTACTTGGGAGACTGAGGCAGGAGAATTGCATGAACCCGGGAGGTGGAGGTTGCAGTGAGCCAAGATCACGCCATTGCACTCCAGCCCAGGCGACAGTACGAGACTCTGTCTTAAAACAAACAAACAAACAAACAAAAAAAAAACAAACAAGTGGGGCTGGGCTCACACCTGTAATCCCAGCACTTTGGGAGGCCAAGGCGGGTGGATCACCTGAGGTCAGGAGTTTGAGACCAGCCTTGCCAACATGGTGAAACCCCGTATCTACTAAAAATACAAAAATTAGCCAGGCGTGGTGGTGAGTACCTATAGTCCCAGCTACTCTCGGGAGGCTGAGGCACGAGAATTGTTTAAATCCAGGAGGCGGAGGGTGCAGTGCAGTGAGCCGAGATCACGCCAATGCACTCCAGCCCTGTGACGGCAGAGTGAGACTCCACCTCAAAAAGGAAAAAAAGCAAGTGGGCAAGAGATGTAAACACTTACCAAAGAAGATATACAAGTGGCAAATAAACACATGAAAAGTCTCTCATCCTTAGTTATTAGAGAAACACAAACCAAAATGAAATAGCACCACACATTTACTAGAATAGCTAAAATAAAAAGAAATGACAATACCAAATGCTGACAAGGATATAAAGAAAGTGGAATTCTCACTGCTGGAGGGAATATAAAATGGTCCAACCACCACAGAAAACAGTTTAGCAGTTTCTTACAGAGTTAAAGATACACATGCCATATGATCCGGCAAGTCCATTCCTAGGTACTTACGTAAGAGAAATGAAAACACGTCCACAAAATACTTGCATATAAATGTTCATGGCAGCTTTATTCATACTAGTGAAAAACTAGAAACAACCCAAATGTTTATCAACAGGTAACTGGATAAACAAAACTACACAATATCCAGACTCCTCAGTAATGCAAGGAAATGAAATACTGATACATGTAACAACATGAATAAATCTAAAAATTACTATGCTGAGCTAAAGAAGTCAGACATTAGTCAGACACAAAGAGTGCACACTCTTAGGATTCCATTTACATGAAACTCTAGAAAAGACAAATCTAACATACGGTGACAGAAAGCAGATAAGCAGTCGCCTAGGGCAAGGGGTGGGATGGAGATCAACTGGGATGGGCACAAAGAGAACTTCTGGGGATGATGGAAACGCTCTCTATCTTGATTGTGATGGTTAGTAACTTGGGCATGTAAATTTGTCAAACTGACTGAAGTGCATGCTTAAAATGGGTGTGTTTTATTGTATGTAAACTTTACTTCAACAAAATTCATTTTAAAATATAGGATGATGCATATAACTCTCAAGGTACCAATAACTGCAGTAACCATCAATAGACTCAATGCTTATAATAGTCCCAAAGAGAAAACAACCGAAATGCCCATCAATGGAAAAATGGATAAACTAATGTGACTAAAATGTAAGATTACTGCAATGAAAATAAATCAACTACAGCTACACATATGAACATGGACAGAACTCGCAAACATATGGAATAAAATAAACCAGGGAGAAAAGAATATAAATAGTATGATTAGCACGATACCATCTCTATGCAAGCAAAGCAAAATTATGTGTTTTGTTTTATTTTGACTTTTTTTGAGACAAACTCTCGCTCTGTCACCCAGGCTGGAGTGCAGTGGTGTGATCTTGGCTCACTATAACCTCCACCTCCTGGGTTCAAGCAATTCTTGTGCCTCAGCCTCTTGAGTAGCTGGGATTACAGGCATATGCCACTGCGCCCAGCTAACTTTTTTTTTTTGAGACGGAGCCTCACTCTGTTTGTTGCCCAGGCTGGAGTACAGTGGCACAATCTTGGCTCACTGCAACCTCCACTCCCCAGGTTCAAGCGATTCTCCTGCCTCAGCCTCCTCAGTAGCTGGGATTACAGGCGCCTGCCACCGTGCAGGGCTAATTTTTGTATTTTTAGTAGAGATGGGGTTTCACCATCTTGGCCAGGCTGGTCTAGAACTCCTGACCTCATGATCCACCCGCCTCAGCCTCCCAAAGTGCTGGGACTACAGGCGTGAGCCATCGCGCCCGGCCTAATTTTTGCATTTTTAATGGAGGCAAGGTTTCCCCACGTTGACCAGGCTGGTCTTGAACTCCTGGCCTCAAGTGATCTGCCCGCCTCGGCCTCCCAAAGTGCTGGGATTACAGGCGCAAGCCACCGTGCCTGGCCCCAAATTATATTTTACATATATATACATATACACACACATACATATATACATACTAGGTGATAACACTACAAAGAAAAGCAAGGAAATGAATTCGCAGGTCAGGATGATAGTTACCTGTTGGTGAGGTAACTACAGCTATACAGAGAGGAAGTACATAGGAACATCTGAGGGACTGACAATATTCTATTTCTTAACCTGGGTGGTAGTTACATGTGTGTTTACTTTATCCTTCTTTCAGATGTTTTATACTCTCACACTCCTTTCTGTATCAATGACATATCTACCTTCCCCCCAGGCCACAAAAAGTAGCACAGTCTCTCCTAAGAAAAGCATGTGAGAGGCCTCTTTTCTAAAAGAAGAGGGATATTAGACATGATGGTGAAAATATGAAACAATGCTCCTTAAAAAAATCCGCCCACCCCCTTTTTAAGAGACACTATGTATCCTAAGCCAAGAGAAAGAGTAAACACTTCTACCAACTAGTCATGGACTGCGCTTTCCATGTGAGAGGGAGGTTTCCTCTACCCATGACAATAATGAACATGAACTCCAGACAGCCCTGAGTTGCCCAAACAACAACCTTCTGCTAGCTTATTTGTTGTAGCCCCACCTGAGTGTCACGCCACTCAGAGAATTCTGACTTACCCCAACTCTCTTACCTTTACTCCTGTTCCTCTTCCTATCTCAGATCAGATTCACAGGTCACTTTCTTCATCAGAGAACAACAGTGCTCAGATTTGGGGGGACATTCCTTGCACTGTCTAGCTGCCCAGAGAAGCTTTTTCTTTTTTCTGATATCAAAGGATGGACACTTGACACCTGTGTATAATTTACTAGCTGTGCAGCCCTGCTTAACCTTTCTGATATGATTTTCCTCATCTATGAAACAGGACACAAAATATCTGTCCAGCCTGTCTCACAGGGCTGACAAGAGAATCAAAGGAAAACACATATGCAGTAACTATAAAGTGTCATCATGTATTAGAGCATGGAGTCATTGCTGTGGTTGTCATTACTGGTCACGCCCTCTGAAAACTACAATTCTTCCTCATATAGGCATTTACTTGGTTAGGGTCCAAAGTTCAACACTTCCCACCCCTCACCAGCCCCCTAGAACATACCTACTTTCTCTGTGAATTCAGCATACAGTATGAATCTGGCCTGAGCCCCACACCCACACCCAAGCTATACATTTACAAAACTTAGAGCTCTGAAAAGGTAGCTGAAAGTCCTGCTGCCAGGCCAAGCGCAGTGGCTCATGCCTGTAATCCCAGCACTTTGGGAGGCTGAGGTGGGCGGATCACTTGAGGTCAGGAGTTTGAGACCAGCCTGGCCAATGTGGTGAAACCCTGTCTCTACTAAAAATATAAAAATTAGCCGGGTGTGGTGGCCTGTGCCTGTAATCCCAGCTACTCGGGAGGCTGAGGCATGGGAATCGCTTGAACCCAGGAGGCAGAGGTTGCAGTGAGCTGAGATCGTGCCACTGCACTCCAGCCTGGGCCACAGAGCAAGACTCCGTCTCCAAAAAAAAAAAAAAAAAAAAAAAAAAAAAAAAAAAGGAAAAGAAAGGAAAAGAAAAGTGTCCTGCTGCCAAAATTCCTCCAAATAATGTTTCTCCTTCAGAATAAGTCCATGTCGGGGCAAAAAAAAAAAAAAAAAAAAAAAAAAAAAAAGGGAAAACCACAAACAATCAAATTGACAAGCTATAAAACGGCAAAAGAAACGAAATCTGGGCAACATGGGATATTGCATCTCTCACTCCACACCAAAGCAGCCATGGACACCAAACCACATGGCTATCTTGGGGCAAAACAAAGACCATTTCTTCAACTGATATGATAAAAGGCTTAATTTTACTGAGATGACAATTTTCTCATTTCTTTGGCTTTTCCTATTTCTCCTTCCCCAGCCTAAATACATTCTGAAAACAAGGACCCTGGAACCCAGAAGTGGAAAGACAGGTGGGTCCCTTGACATACTCACTTCTCTTCAGGGAACTACAGGCAGATCCACAGGCAGAGAGTGCCGAGAGCAGTCTGCACTAAGCGGCCTGTCAAGAGTTCTATCTCCCCCACAGGGAAAGAGGGCAGAGCTGAAGCATGCATCCTTCTCTGGCCTGCCTTCCAAAGCCTAACCTATTCTGACCTTTGAATCTACTTCTACTTTGAATCTACTTCTCACAAAATTCCTTGCTCAGGCTGGCTCTGTTCATTTTCTCTAAACTGAGGCATCCTGAAAATGAAAGTCAGGTGGCAATGATTCCCTACGGAAATCTACCCACAGAGATCCTTGTAGAGAAAAAGCCCAAGGGTTTCTACCACCAGAGATGTAGGAGGAGGAATGAGGGGGCCAGTTTACACAGCTAACTCAAGCCTAACCCCTTATGAAAGGTGGATTTCCTGTACAACTGTTCTGACAAGCGGAGGATTAGGCACTTCATACATTCTGCTTGGGTAAGAGACTCACGACAGAAGTGAATCACCACAGAGGAGCATACTGCTTTTCTGAACGTCTCTGAGATTGTTGTATGCTGGAAGACAAGGACACTTCGGTTGCGAACCAAACTCAACTAGAGTCACCTCCCATCACAACAATGGCATGAAACATCCCACACCTACAAGTTAAAGCTATCAGTCCTATACAGACAGCTGTAGCTAGCTAGCTAGCTCTCTCTCCCTCTGGAGACCCACATGTGACACTCCCTCTACCTTCTGTAATTCAGGATTACTAACACCATTCAAAGCAAGCATAAGGCTGGGTGCAGTGGCTCATGCCTGTAATCCCAGTAATTTGGGAGGCCGAGGCGGACGGATCACGAAGTCAGGAGTTCGAGACCAGCCTGGCCAACATGGTGAAACCCCCGTCTCTACTAAAAATACAAAACTTAGCCAGGCGTGGTGGTGGGCGCCTGTGACCCCAGCTACTCAGGAGGCTGAGGCAGGAGAACTGCTTGAACCCGGGAGGCAGAGGTTGCAGTGAGCCGAGATCGCACCACTGCACTCCAGCCTGGGCGACAGAGCAAGATTCTGTCCCTCCCTCCCCCCACCCAAAAAAAGCAAGCATAAATGATAATGAAAGGAATGCCAGTCAGGCTCTACCTTAATCCCAGCTCCCAAATATTCCCTAAAAGCAGGCAATACCAATAGCACGTGCAAGAAGTGTCTCTTGGGTGCCCTCTTGCTGCCACCGGGGCTTCTCTGCAAAGCTAAATGGATGTATGTGCTATGAAACTGGTAGAGGAAAACAGAGGGAGCCAGGGCACAGAAAAGGGAAGTTATTCCAGTGGTGGCCAATGAGTAACATCCAGTGATTTATAGGCGGTATAATCCAATAATACAGTAAAATAAAACAGTGTGTGCCTGAAGTGGTTTTGATTCCAGGAATTATAAAACATTTTTGAAAAAGAGAGAACAAGAGGGGGAGAGAAAATGAAGGAAGAAAAAAAAAAGGGCCAGATTGGAACAAATTGGGCACAGATGGGGGATGCAATGGGGTTTCAGTGCTCCCCTACCACAATGCTGCTTCAATTCTTCCCTTCAAGAAACTAGAGTTTTATTTCCTTAAATTACAAAATTTTTAAAAATTAAAATTCTTGGAGTACTTGTGGTTTAGATCAATAGGTCACCCTCCGGCACCACGTCAACCAATGAGATGACTACCGAAGTGTTAAATACGGAGGCACGTGGAGAAAGCCCTTCCTCGCTTCAGGCTCAGGAATGCCTTAGAGAGATTATCAGTTATGACATCACTCTGGGAACCACCTATCTCACCACCAGCTTTGGACCTGGTCCACGTAAGAAACACTGCTCGGTGAGAGCTGGCTTTCCCAGAACTGTTGCCTTCTTCACCCATGCACTCAGCAAATGCTTACTGAATGCCTAATACATACCAGGCCCTATGCCAAGGCCCTCAAACGTCCCTTGTCCCACCCCTCAAATTTATCTATCCCCAACTACCTGAGTGTGCAGTATGAGGATTCTAGAATTCTGTATCCACTGACGTAGGACTCTGCATAGGGCCCAACCGAGAGGAGATCAAGGTCTCTCCACCAACACCCGTGAACCCGTGAGTTTTAAGACCACTGCTGAAACTGGAAAGTTTAGTTGGTTAAATAATGTGGCATTACTCAACTTATTTCGCCCTGTAGGAAGGGGGGCAAATCTGGCCTCACATCCTCTGCCTCCAAGAGCAGAGTGGGCTCCTAGGAAAACCATAACCTAGGGAAAGGCAAAGATGCCATTCTCTCACCACCATCTAAACTTTTCCTTTCATTTTGCCTTCTGCAGTGTCCAAAGCTTTTCTACACACTTGAAAAGTAATCACAGTAAAACGTTAGCAACAATATGATTTCCATCCTGGATTACTGATATTGCAGAAAGAAGATAGTTATACAAGGGTGGCACTGAACACACAAGAAACAAATGATTCACGGTAGCATTAGAGGCACCAGCAAAGGACACACTTTTAGAGAAAGGAATCTGCTCCCCTGTGGCTCTCCAAATCACACTCCTTAGGCACCACATCTACAGGGAAGACCCAGGTAGAGACTGTGAGGATCTCAATGGCCTGGTGGGCCACAAGATCACTTCTGCTTCCGGCTGGAATGCTCCTTCTCCACAGAGTCCGGAAACTGACATATGCAGCCACCCACCCAGAAGGACATGTCCAAGAAGGAATGGAAAGAAAAATGATGGCCCAGATGTTCTGTAGCTTGCAGTGACTGCCAATTCACCACAGACCCCAGTACCTGGGAGGGCAAGGCAGCATCAGGCTCTTGCTTCCTGGTTTCAGGCAGCCAGGGCCCTGATGGTGGGTGGCAACTCTGACAGAATGCAGACTGGCCAGGGGAGAAACCTTTAGAAGGGCACTGGCTGACGGGACTTGGGGGTTGAACACACAGCGCTGATTTATCACTTCCTTACTCATAAAAATGTGATTCGAACTGCTGCTGATTAGTGAAGGATTTCAATCTTTACCCTCTCCCCAACCCCCCTCCTTCTCCACCCCCGGCACAGATGCTGCTACTCAGCCACAACACCCCCTTATTGCCACTGTCCAGGCAAGCACAGCACAGCACAGGGGACCAAAGATGATGACTCATGTGCTGGGAAATGGAAAAGTGCATCTTCCCACCAGCCAGCCCTGCCGAGCACTCTGCTCGCCCCTGTCCCAATGGCAGCCCACACAGCGGGGTCTGGATGGCCACCTCAGCTGCACACTGGGTACTTGGCAGCACGTCCACAGAGCTCTCTGTCCTCACTGAGTGTTATATCCTGTGGCCTGGGCCGTTTTTCCTTGAAACACCCTTGGAGCCTCTGAACACCTCAACCCATACTCTTCTTGGCCCCAGTGACCTCATCGAGGTGACAATGAGGTGAGAGTCAGGAGCAGACCAGTCATGAAAAGTAGGGTCTCAAGTACGGGCTTTATTTTTCCATGTCTCTCCTGGCTAGAGGGTACTCGTTATGACCCACCATGGAAGAGTCCTAGAAAAAGTGCCTTGGCCTCACATCAGGGAACAACCGATTTCTTTCTCTGTACTCACCATCTTACCTTCCTTTTACCTGTATTTTCTTTTTTTTTTACTTTTAATTCTTAATTATTATTATTATTTTTTGAGATGGAGTCTCACTCTGCTGCCCAGGCTGCAGTATAGTTTGCAATCTCGGCTCACTGCAACCTCCACCTCCCAGGTTCAAGCAATTCTCCTGCCTCAGCCTCCTGTGAAGCTGGGATTACAGGTGCCCACCACCAAGCGCAGCTAATTTTTGGTATTTTTAGTATAGACAGGGTTTCGCCATGTTGGCCAGGCTGGTCTCAATCTCCTGACCTCAGGTGATCTGCCTGCCTTGGCCTCCCAAAGCGCTGGGATTACAGGCGTGAGCCACCGCACCCGGCCTACCATTATTTTCTTAACCTTTACTTAACAACAGCTACAAGAAAAAGACTCACTGGTGGCCTATTAAAAGGCCAAGGTATTCCTTTCCATGGAATAGAAGCTGCTGAAAACAGATGCTTCATGGGCAAGGGCTTTTAATTCTTAATTATTATTATTATTATTTGAGATGGAGTCTCACTCTGCTGCCCAGGCTGCAGTATAGTTTGCAATCTCGGCTCACTGCAACCTCCACCTCCCAGGTTCAAGCAATTCTCCTGCCTCAGCCTCCTGAGAAGCTGGGATTACAGGTGCCCACCACCAAGCACAGCTAATTTTTGGTATTTAAAGGCAGGTCCTTTACATTCACACCTAAAGAAGCCACAGGTCATTTGGTGCTGGAACAATGTCTTGGCTGAGGCTGCAGCTCTGTGACAGGTAGCTCACTGAACTCTGTGGGTTGTTTTTAGTGGGAGATGGGAATGAACAGGAGGGCACCTCAGGAGGGCCCATTTCCAGAGTCAGGTGGGCTTCCTACTTGGTAGCAGACTGTCCCTCCCCTTTGGGCCTCACCAGCACAGCATTTTACAAACTTTGTTCTCTTCTCCCTGGAAACCAGTGCTGCCACTTAAGAATCGATGCTTCCTCAGGGCCATTTACCCAAATAGCCATCTCAGGAAAAATTAGCCAAGTTCAAAAAGGCATCTAAGCCCCTGGATCTCACTTTCTGCTGGGAATTCTAAACGCTGTAGCAGGCAGCATGAGAGGAGGAAATCCTCTAGGATTCAGAAGTAACTGAGAACCCAGACACACTCTGAGAGGACCTTGCCTAGTCCCAGAAAGATCCGCATTTCCATTTCAAGGCAAAGTGTGGCATATTCACTCCCCCACCACAACCAAGTGAAGCATAACCCTTAAGTACAAACGGGGAGATAAATCAATCAACTTCATGGTGAGAGAAAGTGCTATGAAAAGGGGCAACAAGAGACCCAGCGCCACTCTGTCAAGAAACACCAGATCTGTTTTACAGCAGGGTCTCTATGGGCCAATTCCCACTTCCTGGCATTTCTTGCCCTGAGACCAAACACTCTCTGTCAGTGTTCTGAAATGACTCCTAGGCAGCATGGACCAAATTACCCTTGCGAACAGACACAGAAAATAATGTCATCCCTGTACTACATAATTCCATCAAGTCATACCATATCATCCTTACCTAAGTGAAATGAAGGGAACGGAAGGGAAGGGAAGGAATCCTGGTAACATCCTTTGACCCTGACCTGGTCATCAGAACATTTAAAACCCTGCCAATCTGTCCTTCTCCCCTCTACTTCCACACCCACCCGACCCCCTATGAAAAAACCCCAAAATGTTCAGAAAAACATTTTAGAATGCACACTGGTATAATAGCTAAATTCTGGGACTGGTGGTTTTTGTGCTTCCAGATTTGAGTCACCAAAGCTCATCAATTCTCGGTTCTTACTCCCTGGCAGGCTCCCACTAGGGATATCCCATAGGGAACTAGACTTTTCCATATTGAACAAACAGGGTACATGAGTCCAGAAACAGCTATTCCCAATCCCTGCCAAGCGTATGGTCTCTGCAATGAAACATCTCAGCAATGCCTCTCCCTTGGGAGAGGCTCTGGGTCTGCAGCCTTCAAGAGGCCTTGCTGCTGCCTTTCGCGTGGCCAGATGTGCAACTGCATCTCTGCATTTGCAAATTAAGCTCTATACCCATGATTCCCTCCTTCCATCCCACCCAAGCACTAGAGAGTCATACAGATTTCAAAGTAAACTAAATATCTGAGACAATGGTAGGAAGCGTAGGGTAGGGTGTGTGTGTTCGGGGGTGGGGTGGGGGGAGGTAGGTATGGTAGGTATGGTAACACAAGAAAGAAGCTACATTAATCTCTATCTGTCTATATTCTAGATGAAGAAACTAAACATGCCTTACCTTTCAGCTGGGAGTTGTGTACTGCAAACATATTGATGGTCATAAGCTGCAGCATGCGGGTACTTCCAATGGGAGAGGGGCTGTGCTGCAGTAACACCTGGAACTCCTTGAGGACCTTCTCAGCCACTGCAGGGAATGTCTCCATCCTGCAGATTCAGAAAACCCATCAATGAGGCACCTCTCTCTTTCAGTCTCTCTCTCACTCTGTCTCACACACACACACACACACACACACACACACACACACACACACACACACACCAGACAACTACTGCCTAGGACATTTCTTTGCTACTTTCACAAACCTTCCCGGTATCCTGCAATTTTGAACAAATTCAAGATAAAGGAGTTTTCAGGGTCCAGAGATGCAAACAACTCAAGTTTTGGATAAATCACTATGAGTTATTATGCTTTGGTATGCTATTTCCTCACCCCTGGCAATAACTGTGTTCAAGCTAATATCAAAGTTTCTCTCTGAAACCATCGGCTTTTCTAAATACTCAACAAATTTCCTGAAACCTTCACAGTCCCTAAACTCTCTGGTATGAAACTTAATTCAATTAAAAAAGTAATGTGAATCTAAACAAAAAAAAAAAAATTTTTTTTTTTTTTTGAGACAAAGTTTCGCTTTTTTCGCCCAATCTCGGCTCACTGCAACCTCTGCCTCCCAGGTTCAAGCAATTCTCCTGCCTCAGCCTCCTGAGTAGCTGGGACTACAGGCATGTGCCACCATGCCCGGCTAATGTTTGTATTTTTAGTAGAGACGGGATTTCACCATGTTGGCCAGGCTGGTGTCAAACTCCTGACCTCAAGTGATCCACCTGCCTCGGCCTCCCAAAGTGCTGGGATTACAGGCATGAGCCACTGCACTCGGCCTAAAGATATTTTACCCAAGCGTTTACTTTAGGTAACCAGACATAGTTCTGCTATTGTCTTCTGAGGTACTATCACACTGACTGTTCCGCCTAACGATCCCAAATTTCCCCTTGAAGAATGCCTAGACCTAGAAGCCCCCAGTCATCTGTCTCAGTTCTTCGTGTGTTGCCGTCCTCCTCCCTCTCACAAGGCTCTGCTCATCGGGGTCTGTATGTTTTCAGGCCAGTGGAAATAGAATGCCCTGGCCAAGTGCCACTCCCAATACAGGAAGAGGCTGTAACGCAGGGAGGCAGAAATCTAGCCAGTGACCTAGGGCTCCTAAGGAGAGGTCATTCAAATCACTCCTTGCCAAATGTGGCCACTGGATCCCAAACAGTGGTGCATGCCTGGAGCTTCTTTGGCAACAGAAACAAACCACAGCTGAAGTCTTCAGAAATAAAAAGCAAGTTCAAGCTTGGTGCTAGAGAGAGTAGCCAGGCACATGGGCCTTAGGGTTATGCCAAACAATTCGTGGTCACCAAAGTATTTTTTACCATGTCCCCCAGCCCCCAAATAAACAAACTGCTTGTGACATACTTGTGGGGTTGGGGAAACAGCTCCAGGTTGGATTAACAAATAGCTTCTGAAAAGCCACAAGGAAGGTAATCCTTCTCAAAAGATAGAAAGCAGTTTCAAGTTCTAGAGGAAGGTGCTTCTAGCTTCACCCATCTCGGCCCTTCCCGACTGGGAAGTGTCCTCCCTGGATTAGAAAACTCCAGGTTTTCTAGAATCTTGGCAATCTTCACTCCTTGCACTTGGATGGCAACTCTTATTACTGACCCCCTGGTGCCCAGAAGTCGTGCCACAGTTATGGGTCAATTACAGTTTACATTCCAGTTCCCTCCTCTGCTGAGCTGTCCTCATTTTCATTGGCACAAAAGATGCCATGCATTTGCTTTTTTTCTCCACATGCCATTTCAAGTACCCACCCCTCCAAAACAAAACAAAACTCTTTTTTTTTTCTCTAAAAAATTTCAGAGCCGTTAAAACTCTTGGAAGATGTGGAATGGCAGAGAGTGACATGTTTGGGGCTGGACTAGATCCGTTTTTCCCCACGGGCTCTAACAAAGGTTTCATTTTAAACCCTGACACTGTGCAGCACTCTTTCTGGTCAGAGGTGGGGAGGGGGCTAGCACTTCTCGTTACGAGAATAGCAGCGTTCACTCTGCTTGAAAAGCAGCCACGCTGGGCAAGTTTCAGAGCCATGTGTCTCCGTGTTGAAAGGCAGTAGAGAGCCAGCACAGAACGACAGGACAGAAGTGTCACGTGGGACAGTTTTGCTTCGAAGCTGTGTCTGAGGAAGCCTCTTCCCTGGAGTAGGAATTGGAAACAGATCCATTAACACTCTCTGGGTCAGACTGAAGTCTTGAACGAGCACCAGGTCAAATGTCCACATTTCCTTTTTATAAAAAGTTTTTTAAAAAAAATTCTCCCTTTGCCTTCCAACTAATTCAACATGATTAAAACAAAAGAAAAAACTGAAAGCAGAAGGATATAAGTTAGAGTAACTTCAAATGTGAGATGTGAGAGAAGGTGGATCTATTCATGCAAAACCAGCCTTGTTCAGCAGTAACCACGGGAGGCACAGATAAAGAGAGGAACCCTCCTCAGGGCTCAGTAGGTGGTTTCTGGTTTCCAGTTTTGTAACCAAAATGCTATCTAATTCTGGCCTCAAACTACCTGTAAGTAGTTTTATGTCTTTCTCTCTGAGAAATAATCTTTGCTTCACCCCGCATTACTGATGGACACGTACGTAAGTATGTAGGTAGATGAGTGAAAGGTCTGGAAGAATACACGCCCTGATGTCTACTACTATCTTTTTGGAGGGCACAGAGTTAAAAGAAATTTTACTCTTAGTTTTAATGTTATACTTTTATAAGGATTTCTGGATAATACTTATGTAATAATTATAAAATTATAGCCAAGAAGAAACAGCAGTCTCAGCAATAAAGCAGGAAGAGAAGCAACAGAGAAAACATACAAAAAGTGGTCATTTATAATCGCCAAAAATTGGAAGCAATCTAAAGTGCCCAACAATAGATGATTAAGATGGAACATGCACACAATTGAATACTAGTTTTTTTAAGTTGTATTACATTTTTTAATCATGTGAGAGAAACTTCCAAACATATTAAATGAAAATAGTTGTAAAGCAATAGAAAAAAAGTGTGTATGTGATATGTAGGAAAAAAATTGAAAAAATTTTACCAAATTTTAACGGTGGAGTTATCTCTAGGTGGTAGGAATATGGGTAATTTTTTATTTGTTCTTCTTTGCTGAGTTTTCTAAATACTTTACAAAGAGCACTGTAAAGAAAGAAAAGATTTCTCCCATAATGAATACATCTTACTTTTGTATTTAAGAACATCTGTTAATTTAAAAAGCAAATCAGACACAAACATTATATTTTTAAAAATTAAAAGTACAAAATAAATATATCAGTCTTTGAATTCCAAGAGACTTCGAAGCTATGCAAATAGCATGACTAGGCAAGCAAGTAAAAGCTAAAGTGGTAACTGTGATCAAGGCAATAAGAGGAAGCAAAAGCATACTATTTGTCACAAATTCAGAGCCTATAGGCTGCCAGCTTCCTAACCTCTCTCAGTGGAGTCCAAGTGCAGGTGTGATCTGCCTCTCACCAGGAAAGGGTCTGTCAGGAGCCATATGGCACCCCGACTGAGTACTTCTCCCGAATCCGAGATGACTCTGTCCCTATCCTTTAAAACCTCAGAAGATACCATCGTTTTCGGGCTGTGTGTGTCACTGACTAAAGTGGCTGCCTTGTGATGTGATCTCTAGAGACACCTTGTTTCATTTGAATGGCAGTTTCAAGAAACCAATCTTTCAGACAACACCGGGACCTAGGCCCAGGACTGACTCAGACGGTGACTAACCGAGCAGGACTCAGCCCTCAGATGCTGAGGAACACAGCTGGGCTAGACAACATTCTCTGCAGAAAACAATCCAGGTTAGTTTTTCTCAACCTCTTATTTTTAAAAAACGAGCAAGATACGAATAACCCAGGAGCAAAAGACCAAAACCAAAAAACTAAGCCATGTGACAGGGTGGAAATGAGAAAAAAAAAAACAAATCATAGTACTACAGAACATAAGGACTGGAATGGACCTCAGAGACCATATCTTTAAACCACTGATCAGGTTAGTTGAAGCCCGCAGCAGCTCTGACTTGTTTACTCTCAAGATCTTGTAACTAGTAAGTGGTGAAAAACAAACTCTTTTTGGCACTGAATATTTCCTCTAAAGCTCTGAACCTCTCGTCAGCTAGTGCTGGGAGTTAAGAGACTTATCTTGCACATAGTAGGCATTCGAGTCTCTGCTGACGCAGTGTGGAGCACCAGGCACAGAGCAGACCATGCCTGGAAGCGCAGCGTCCGAGCTTTTCCGAAAGGGCAGGCGGGAGAGTGATGTGCCTTCAGCTGCTCCCCATTACAATCTCCTCACTCTTAATTCGTTTTCAACACCGCCCACATTTCACATCTTCTTCGTAATTAGGCAACAGTCTACGATGTTGTGTGTGGCTTGGGCTCATTGCTTTCCTAGTCTTACAGACTTCTATACCTTTTTCCCTGCAACAGAAATGTTATTTCTGTTTCTGCCTTCCAGAATAAATATGGCGCTCAATTTTATTTTACCTCCAGGACAGAATAAGAGGATACCCATAGAGGGAGTGTAGTGCCTAGAATCCACATACATTTTCCTCAATGAAAACTACCGTAAGTCATTTCTTAGGAAGGTGAAATTGGGCTGGCTTTACCTTTTTGACAACAGAATATGTTATATGCAGGAATAAAAGAGATCCTGAAAAATAACCTGGAACACAGTAAACCACCTCAGACAAATGAGATATCTATTCATTTTTAAAGGCCTCCAAAAAAGAAAACTCTCAAACATCCTCCCTTCTGTGAAATTTTCTTACACCTAACCCAAATCTCTCCAGCTACAACAGAAGCCAATTTCTCTTACTGTCATCCCATAAAAATCAAGACTATCCTATTAGGACCCTTTTATATTTAAACATGTTAGGCACCCTACAGCTGTCTCTAAATAAGTATTTTTTTACCTTAATGTTTTTCAAAATTAATTTTTCCTTTCAGATCTCATTTTCTGGCTTTTAAAAAAATTATCTATTATACTCATTAAAAAGAGAGATGGGGTCTTCTGCCTATGTTGCCCAGGCTGGTCTTGAACTCCTGGGCTCAGGCGATTCTCCCACCTTGGCCTCTCAAAATGCTAGGATTATAGGCGTGAGCCACCGCACCCGGTCATTATCTCGCTTTTTCATCATTACTGTGGTCCTTTCCCAAACTTATTCCAAAATATGTGTCAAAATATAAGAATTTTAGAAGTGGAGGGGAAATCAGGGTGTTTAGCTACTGCATAACCTGATAAAAATATATCCTAAATGTTCCTACATTCTGCACCAAGATTTATAACTTTTTTATTCCCAAAAGTCTCTAACAGGGCAAGAAATATCTAGAGTAGTGGTTTTCAGTGAGGGGCAACTTTGTCTCCCAGGGAACACGTGGCAATGTCTGGAGACATTCTGAGTCAGCACATTTGGTGCACAGTGGGAAGAAGGCAGGGATGCTGCCAAGTATCCTACAACGCACAGGACAGCCCCTCACAGCAGAGTCATCTGGCTCAAAATGTCGACAGCACCAAGGGTTGGGAAATCCTGACTTAGGGCAACATGGTACGGGAAAATTTAAAGAACAAACATAGGCAAAGGAAAAAAGGAGAGAAAACACTGAGTGAAAAGTAGTAAAGGAGAGAAAGGTGAAAAAACGAGAATAAAAGATAAATAGGCCGGGCGCGGTGGCTCACACCTGTAATCCCAGCACTTTGGGAGGCTGAGGCGGGTGGACCACGAGGTCAGGAGATCGAGACCATCCTGGCTAACGTAGTAAAACCCCATCTCTACTGAAGATACAAAAAAAAAAAAAAAAAAAAAAAATTAGTCGGGCATGGTGGCAGGCACCTGTAGTCCCAGCTACTCGGGAGGCTGAGGCAGAAGAATGGCATGAACCCGGGAGGCGGAGCTTGCAGTGAGCGGAGATCGCGCCACTGCACTCCAGCCTGGGCGACAGAGCGAGACTTCGTCTCAAAAAAAAAAGATAAATAAGCCATCTGTGGTGGTGTGAGCATGCAGTCCCAGTGACACGGGAGGCTGAGCCACGAGTTCAAGGCTATAGTGCGGTATGATCACACCTGTGAATAGCCACTGCACTTCAGCCTGGGTAACACAGACAGGCTCCATCTCTTTAAAAAAAAAAAAAAAAAAAAAAAAAAAAGAATAAGAAAGAAGCAGGAGTACCATCAACTGTCACTTTAAGTGTAGCACAATGGTATTTCCTACTCGGATGTGTTATTTTTAAGATGATACCGATATCATCTTATCCACCTTCAACCTTGTAACTACAGCCTTACATTACTCACTAGTGATTGTCTTGGGTCTACAGTAACCTACTAGAATACTACATATTTCTCTGCAGTGCTTAGCAATCCATCCGTCTTTTTATAATTCATTCATTTGTACAACAAATACTACATGCCAGGCTCTAGGAACACAACAGTGAGGCAAAAACTGCCAGAGTGGAACTTAAACTGGTGGCAGTGGCAGTGGCAGGACGGGGGAGGTGGGAGGCAGGAGATGGGACCAGTGATGCATCTAGTTTACTTTGCCTAAGTGAATGTCTCCACCTGTTATGTCTACAGATAGAGATTCATCTACTGGTACCTTGTCCAATTTTCCCAAGTCATTTTGAAATCCAAACTATGCTTGCAATGACCATCACTATCATTCTTACCCAGGTTGATACCAAATGAATATGTAATAAGCACACTTTCTAGTCCACCGCCCGTGGAGCAGAGTTTCTTCCAGTGGAACCAAGCCTTTCCGCTTCTCAAAAAAGTTAACTACAACGGTATGTGGAAACTGACATAGCCCCTACCTCCACTAAGAGAGCCTTCTAGGCCGGGCGTGGTGGTTCACGGCTGTAATCCCAGCACTTTGGGAGGGCGAGGCAGGTGGATCACATGAGGTCAGGAGTTCAAGACCAGCCTGGCCAATATGGTGAAACCCCATCTCTGCTAAAAATGCAAAAATTAGCCAGACGCGGTGGCATGTGCCTGTAATCCCAGCTACTTGGGGGGCTGAGGCAGAAGAATCACTTGAACTCAGAGGGCAGAGGTTGCAGAGAGTCGAGTCATGCCGCTGCACTCCAGCCTGGGCAAGAGAGCAAGGCTCTGTCTCAAAAAAAAGCCTTCTAGAGAATTACAGATAAACTTACGAAGTTATGACGGGAAGTGAAAGGGAAACATTGACAATAACTGGGGTATTCATAATTCAAAACAAATCACCCCAAAGGGTAGCTCACAATACAACTTCCAACTCAGAAAATATTAGAATCCAGTAGAAAACTGGTCTAGTGGAAGACTGGTCTGGGGGCACTGCCACCTACTACTTTCTTCACTCTCCTATACTCAGGGAGATCCTATACTAAAGAGGCACCAGGCATCCATCTGCTCTGGCGTGTAGGCATTACGTTGGGCTTAGGATCACTAGTTTTATGCAGAGAGGAAGAACTCGGATCCATCCAAGGAATAAAGGAATACTCAAAACTCGATCTGTTTCCAGGAATTTAAGCAGTCAAGTGTTAGTTTTGCACACACTACCTTCCCTGAGATGTCTATGGAAATCCATGGTGGATGATGAAACCGTAAGAGGCTTGGTATCTAATGAGATCAGCAATATGGCAAAGGAATCTGAGCATAGGAGGAAAGGATATGGGTCAAAAGGATATAGAAAGAAAATGTTACTCTTATTTTTGATGGAAAAGTAGTGGACAGTATTCTTCCCAAGGAGGACCCCCTGACAGCTGCACCCAGGGATTTAGCACAACTGCCCTGAGGCACTCACTAGGGACCTAAGCCGGAAGGCAGAGGAAAGAGAAACCCAGAGGGACTGGGGTGGGGGCTGGGACAAGATTGTATTTAAAGGAGTGTTTTAGTAAAGGTAGAGAAAGAAGAAACAAGAGAGATAGAGAGTAATATTTACCAAATTTCATGAGCACAGTAGGACAGAAGATGAAGGGAAGAGAAGAGAAGGTGGAGGCCTCTAAGAATTCACACCCTGTGCCCTCAGTTACAAACACAGTCCAGTTGCTAACAATATTAAATTCCAAAATGACTTGTAATGTAGGAAAATAAAATAAACATCCTGCACACTTACCCAATCCGGGTAAACAGCTTCCCATGGGCATGGAGAAAACTGAGGATGAACCTTTTGTTCAGCTGCATGGGAAAAAGGGAGAGGAGAAAACAATTAAACTTTCCCCAGTTTCCTGTTACTGAACAGAGTCCCCAGTGACACAATAACCTGGCCAGGGTCTAAGGGGTGGGCACTAGGGATGGGAACCAAATGGACATGCCCAAACTCTCACAGACCCAGGGCACATGCCCAACAGCTGCCGCTCAGCTGAGCCAAGATGACAACAGGCTCAGTGAGCAGACAGCACCCTCTGCCGGCAGTGGCACCTGTGTGCAGGGGATGAGGCGGTGAATCCTAATAAGCAGGATATAAAGAAAGGTGCCCACAGCTCTCTGAGGATCTAGGAGCCACTCCGGCTCCATAATCATGGAAATGAAACTCTAACAGGAGCAAGGATAATAGTGAAGGCCCTGGTTCTATTTGGGTTATTTTTCTACCTACCTAGCTAGGAAAGCAGGACTCTTTGACAACCAAGAGCAAGGTAACCCACCACTAACTAGCTCATCAAATTGTACTTCACCAGCTTTAAAAACTAGAGTTCATGTTCTAGGTCTGGAGTTGAAAATTCAAGTGTCTAAAGGGCTAGGCGTGAAGTATGCTGATGGAGACAGTAGCAAGCTATGACTATTCCACTCCAGTTTTGGCCAAATCCTCTATGTAGGCCCAAGCTGGAAACTGCAATCTGGGTTTTTTTGTTTTTGTTTTTTGAGACAGAATCTTGCTCTGTCACCCAGGCTGGAGTGCAGTGGTATGATTTCAGCTCACTGCAACCTCCACCTCCCAGTTCAAGCAATTCTCGTGTCTCAGCCACTCAAGTAGCTGGGATTACAGGCATGCACCCCCATAATCGGCTAATTTTTGTATTTTTAGAAGAGACGGGGTTTTGCCATGTCGGCCAGGCTGGTCTCCAACTCCTGGCCTCAAGTGATCCACCTGCTTTGGCCTCCCAAAGTGCTGGGATTACAGGCATGAGCCACTGCACCCAGCATGTTTTGTTGTTTTGAGACAGGGTCTCACTCTGTCGCCCAGACTGGAGCACAGTGGTGTGATCACAGCTCACTGCAACCTCAACCTCCTGGGCTCAAGTGATCCTCCTGCCTCAGCCTCCTGAGTAGCTGGGACTACAGGTATGTGTCACCACACCTAGCTAATTTTTAATTTTTTGTAGAGAGGAGTTCTCAATACGTTGCCCAGACTGGTCTCAAAATCCTGGGCTCAAGCAATCCTCCTGCCTCAGCCTCTCAAAGTGCTGGGATCACAGAGGTGAGAGTCACTGCACCTGGCTGAATCTGGATTTTTATGTGAAATACTCTGGCTTTTACATGTTGGCTACTAATGAAAATAATTTAAGCATTAAAGAAGCCAAAAAACACATTTGCCAGCTACATCTGGCCCATGAGCCACCAATTTACAATCGTGGTTCAAGGTTCTAGAAAATCTACTTCCATTGAAACCAAACTATTTCTCAGCAAAACAAGGGAGGGAAAAAAATTTCAATTCAAATCCAAAGCAAGTAGAAACAATCTAAAAACTAAACCTCCTTGTCATCTTCCCTGGTCTCCTAGAAGCAGTATATTCAGGGCTCTGTAGCCAGCCAGGAAGAGAAGTGAAGAATCTTGACCCCAGGATCCCAGTGGTCAGGGCAAGGAGTCCAGTATCGCTGGGCAGTCTGCCCCACAAGGAGAAAGTCCCTGTTTAATCCTCTGACAAAACAGAACATCAATCAAGCTATGGCAGTTCCATCTATTTCATATGGAAGCCAAGTGTGGGAAAAGAGGTACATTCTCACTTAACCAATGATCAACATCAAACTCTGCATAGAATGTTCACTCTATTTTTGCTTTAAATGAGTTACACTCATTTAATTTATAGATAAAAAGCTCAGAATATTTCATTGAAGATAACCTGTCTATACAGCAAGGTGAGTCAGGGCCAGGGACACTGGGTTCCATCAACAGAATGGAAGAGGCCGGGTGCAGTGGCTCATGCCTGGAATCCCAGCACTTTGGGAGGCCATGGCAGGTGGATCAATTGAGGTCAGGAGTTCAAGACCAGCCTGGCCAACACGGTGAAACCCCGTCTCTACTAAAAATACAAAAATTAGCTGGGTGTGGTGGCAGGTGCCTGTAATGCCAGCTACTTGGGAGGCTGAGGCAGGAGAATCGCTTGAACCCGGGAGGCAGAGGTTGCAGTGAGCCAAGATCATACCATTGCACTCCAGCCTGGACAACAAAGAGCGAAACTCTGTCTCAAAAAATAAAACAAAACAAAACACAAAAACACTAGAATACAAGAGTGAGGAACAGCTGCAAAATAAATTGCCCATGGCTACACCAACATTAGTGGCGAAACCTGGCCAGAATGCAGATCTCTAGATTTCCTAGTAGAGGAAGATGGTGAGAAACAGGGACCTTCCCATGAAAGACCTCTGCCATTTACCTGCGGTGGGATCTTAGGCAACGGATCTAAATGCTCGCTTGACCTGTAAACACTCAATTGTTAACATTCTCTCCTAACAAATGATGAAGCAAGTGGTGAAATGAAGCAACTGGAGAATCTGGGAGAAGAATATGTGGGAGTTTTTTGTGTTATTCTTACAACTTTTCCACAGATAGGATGTTATTTCAAATAAAAAGTTAAGAATACACATTCTCTCTCTCTTCCTATTTTAACTTGGTTATCCCTCTTCCTATAGATGTCAATCATAAATTGGTTAATTCATTCATAATCAGAAGGAATCCCTTATAAACTGGTTCTATTTATATCCTAAGTCTTTCATAAACTGGTTATATATAAAGGTTACTTGTACAGCCGGGTGCAGTGGTTCACGCCTGTAATCCTAGGACTTTGGGAAGCCAAGGCAGGTAGATCATCTGCGGTCAGGAGTTCAAGACCAGCCTGGCCAACATGTTGAAACCCTGTCTCTACTAAAAATACAAAAATTAGCCGGGTGGTGGGTGCCTGTAATCCCAGCTACTAGAGAGGCTGAGGCAGGAAAATCACTTGAACTTGGGAGGCGGAGACTGCAGTGAGCCATGATTGCTCCATTGCACCCCAGCCTAGGGGACAGAATGAAACTGTCTCAGAGAAAAAAAGAAAAAAGAAAAAAGATACAGGCCAGGCATGGTGGCTTACGCCTGTAGTCCCAGCACTTTTGGAGGTTGAGGCGGGTAGATCATGAGGTCAGGAGTTCAAGACCAGCCTGGCCAATATGGTGAAACCCAGTATCTGTTAAACAAACAAACAAACAAACAAACGAAACAGCCAGGCGTGGTGGCACGCACCTGTAGTCCCAGCTACTTGGGAGGCTGAGGCAGAAGAATCGCTTGAACCTGGGAGGCGGAGGCTGCAGTGAGCCGAGATCACACCACTGCACTCCAGCCTGGGAGACAGAGTGAGACTCTATCTCAAAAAATAAAAAATAAAAATAAAAAGATACTAACCCACTTCATTCAAGCCTAAATACCATCCCCCAAGCCAACTCAGAAATTTAAGCAACTTTACTTTAGTAAATGGCAGAGTCAGAACTTGAACCCAGGTCTTCAGATTCCAAACACAGTTTTCTTTCTCTTATCCTACACCTATCTCGGGGAAAAGAACTGGTGAGCTGATTCAACCAAGGGCTAACGAGGGAATAAGAGCAACTAAGAAGCCGTTCAAGTTTTGCTTTTAAGTTTTCCTTCCTGATTAGGTAGGAAACTCATACTGTTTGAACCACAACACCTCCTGGACTAAAACGAGAGCCCCAAGAGGTTTGGAACATCTGTGCTTCTATGTGTACTTCACAAACATCCTTCCCTTAGGGTAGGAGATGAAGCCCACCTAATTACCTGAGTCTGTACTTGCCACTACCGTATTTTAACTGCAAAAAGTCGATTTCAATGCATTACTTTTCAACTAGTGGGAGTGAAGAAAATCTCAGATAACCTTTTCAAACTATACACACACTCTCCCTAACCTTAGTTAATGAGAACCACCGCTTTATTTTTAGTCTGAAGGTCACTGTTAAACATACTTTCTCTTTGTTGTCATCAATAACACTTCAATTAGGAAAGGAGCTAAAAATGTAGATACATCTAGAAGGTATGTGACATGAAGGAGCAGATTTGTTACATATTGATCAAATCGGACCTAAACAACATTTACAAGAGACAATATGAAGTCAACTAGCACTGAGACAGATACTTTGGAGAACTTTTTTTTTTTTTGAGACAGAGTCTTGCTCTTTCACCCAGGCTGGAGTGCAGTGGCGCTATCTCAGCTCACTGCAAGCTCCGCCTCCCGGGTTCACGCCATTCTCCTGTCTCAGCCTCCCAAGTAGCTGGGACTACAGGCGCCCGCCACCACGCCCCGTTAATTTTTTTTTTTTTGTATTTTCAGTAGAGATGGGGTTTCACCGTGTTAGCCAGGATGGTCTCAATCTCCTGACCTTGTGATCCGCCCGCCTTGGCCTCCCAAAGTGCTGGGATTACAGGCGTGAGCCACCGCGAGAACTCTTAACTGACCCCAAACCCATAGTCACAAAAACCTTAGTCCGAGCTTCCTTCTTCCTTCCTAACACATCAGCATGGACTGGCTTCCATTTCTACCACTTTTCAATTTTTATCATTTATCTTAGAGACAGTGTCTCACTCTGTTACCCAGCCTGGAGTGCAGTGGCAACATCACGGCTCACTGCAGCCTCTGACTCCTGGGCTCAAGCAATCCTCTCACCTTAGCCCGCAAAGTGCTAAGATTATAGGCGCATACCAATGTGCAGGGCTAATTTATTTTCATTTTTTGTAGAGATGGGGTTCTCACTTTGTTGCCCAGGCTGGTCTCCTCACTTTGTTGCCCAGGCTGGTCTCAAACTCCTGGCTTCAAGCAATCCTCCAGTTTTGGCTTCCCAAAGTGCTCAGATCACAGGCGTGAGCCACCTTGCCTGGCAGACTTTTTTCATTTTTAACAATACACCTAGATGGTTCTCGGTCAGGTGGAAAATAAATGTTACTTCTCAAATTGTGAGGCCACCTGCGTTCAGATCTTCCTTACATATTTACCTACTGTTCACTGAAACAAAAATGCTTCTTGGGTGTATCCCTGAGAGGTAGTGTTAGAATTATTAAAGGTCTTCTGGCTCCTTAGCTCAAGTCCAAAACAAATTCACTGTGGACTCCTGAGCTCAACCCAAAGAGACACCAATGGCAGTAGATGGATGGGTAGGTCTCTGGACACACAATAAAGTCCGTCCTGTCATTAACTGTGGGATTATAAGTAAAATGTTTTGGATTGTTCCTGGACTGTAAAATGGAATTTCTACCACTGACATTACCTAATTCAGAACTAAAAGGATGAAATGAAATAATACAAATTAAAGTAGTCTGAGGAGTAGATGTTTTACACAAGCCTTGAAAGTTATCACTCAAAATTGTGTCTAAGGGCTTGGTGACTGTGGAGCAAGGAAGGAGAGAGAAGCTGCTCAGAGGCAACAACGCAAGAGGAGGGGATTCTGAAACAGGCCCAATTTCAGTTCCGAAAGAGTCGTTCCTGCTTCTACAGAGTCGTGTGAAAAACCGAATTTCTGAAAAGTGAATCATTTTAAGGACAGTAAGGGTAGTCAGTATTAAAGGAATTCCAAAGTGCATTTTAAAGTGATTTTGAGGAGCATAAATTATTATTCTCTTATCTGTATGGAATGTCTCTATTTTTATATACACTTTTTTTTTTTTTGAGACAGGGTCTCACTCTGTCACCCAGACTGGAGTACAGTGGCACAATCAAGGCTCACTGTTGTCTAGACCTCCTAGGCTCAAGTGATCCTCCCGCCTCAGCCTTCTAAGTAGCTGGGCCTACAGGCACACACAATCATGCCTGGCTAGTTTTTTATTTTTTGTAGAGACGGGGTCTCACTATATTGCCAAGGAGTCTCAAACTCCTGGGCTCAAGCGATCCTCTGCCTCACCCTCCTAAAGTAGTGGGATTACAGACATGAGTCACTGGTCCTGGCCCCATATATTTTTAAAAAAACAAAACTTTCTTGCATTTTAGAAAAGGGATCTATCCTCTTAGATATGAGACAACATAGGTGGAGACCAAATTTCATGAGTACCTGTTAGTAAAACAGCCAGGACTTTCACAGCATTCAATCAAAGCCCACTTATCAGTCTCTCTCAAGCAATGAGATCACAAGGCGGAGGAGGATGTGGGCGCACTGGTGATGTTGTTCACACGTCATCCTCATCCCTGCGCTCCTATGCTGGGCATAAGAGGAAACCAACAAGATAGGGTCTCTGATGCCAAGGAGCTTATAGTCCAAGAACAAAGATAAATAACATACCAACTTGCCCACTGGCCATTTATGCTCCCACACCTAAGACAAGGCCTATGAAGGTTCCAGGAGGCACTGTGTTTCCCTTACTGTCATTTTTCCTGTCACAGAGATGAGATGGAATCTAAGAAAAAAAAAAAATGAGGGAAGGGGGGCCTGGTACAAAAAATGTGGAAACCCATCAGTAATGCAATAATCATTCAGTAAAGACAGAGTTATTCATTATTAGTACTTTCAGCATTCCTCTTTCCAGGATATACAGATTAAAAAAAAAAAAAAGCACGGGAAAACCAAATAGCGTGACTCAAATGCCTCGTAGGAAGATGTAGCAAATCAAATCAACCCTTAGGCCCCTTACTTGGACCAAAGAGCCACGCTGAGGCTGAGGTAGAACCGGGATGGCAACAGCTCTTCACCCTTTACTTCCTCCACTCCAGAACTGTTCAGGGCTGGATGACAGCTCAATTAGCTTCAATTAAACATAAGTTCCTGTACAGATGTCCCACTTAAGATGGCTAGATCTGAGACATGTGAATTTAAGTGTAAAATGTGCCTTTTAAAACTACCTCTTCCAACTAACGCACCCCTTGAAACAATGCCTCTCAACTTTGCACTGCAGTTTAGTGCTGCCTCTTATACTAAAGCAATTTGTTACTTCGTTATCCCTCCTAGTTAAAGCCAGCAGACTGAGGGAAATTGAGCTAAATCAGTAGGCAGCTCCAGAAAACACAGCCAACCAGCAGAGGGACAGCCGAGCTCAGAGTACCTGGCTGGCTCTCAGAAAGGAAACTGGCACCAGGTATAAAGAAAAGAAGGGGCCAGGCACAGTGGCTCATGCCTGTAATCCCAGCACTTTGGGAGGCCGAGGCGGGCGGATCACCTGAGGTCGGGAGTTCGAGACCAGCCTGACCAACATGGAGAAACCCCATCTCTACTAAAAATACAAAATTAGCCGGGCGTGGTGGCTCATGCCTGTAATCCCAGCTACACTGGAGGCTGAGGCAGGAGAATCGCTTGAACCAGGAGACGGAGGTTGCAGTGAGCCAAGATCGCACCACTGCACTCCAGCCTAGGAAACAAGAGCGAAACTCCATCTCAGAAAAAAAAGGAAAAAAAAGAAAAGAAGGAGGCCGGGCACGGTGGCTCACGCCTGTAATCCCAGCACTTTGGGAGGCTGAGGTGGGCAGATCACGAGGTCAAGAGATCGAGCCCATCCTGGCCAACGGTGAAACCCCGTCTCTACTAAAAATACAAAAATTAGCTGGGTGTGCCTATAGTCCCAGCTACTCAGGAGGCTGAGGCAGGAGAATTGCTTGAACCTGGGAGGTGGAGACTGCAGTGAGCCAAGATGGCGCCACTGCATTCCAGCCTGGTGACAGAGCAAGACTCCAACTCAAAAAAAATAAAGAAAAGAAAAGAAGGAGCCACGAATATGTTCAGTATTTTGTATTTACTGCTCATGTGTTTACTGGGGGAAGGAATATGACAGAATGGTATGAACAGAGACCGCTGATCTTAAGAGTTGAAAACCTGGGTTCGAATTTTGGTCATGCCATTTATTTGCTGTTAATTATCAGGAAGTCACATAAATCTTCTAGGGCTGTTTCTTCAACAGTTAAATGAGTGAGATCAGTACTGCTAATTCCACAACCCTGAGTGTATGTCTATCACCTGAACAGCTTTTATAAAAAATACAGATTCCTCACTCCTACAGAATCAGAATCCTCAAGGACGAGAGAGGGGCACTTCGAATCAACATTTTTAAAGGTCTCCAGGTCACTGTGAAAGATAGCCAGATTTGGAAACCACTGGGCTATATCAGACACTGGCAAACTATGGCCATGGGTCAAATGTAGCCTGCCACCTGTTTTTGTATGACCCATGAGCTAAGAATGGTTTTTACATTTTTTTAATGGCTGAAAAAAAAAATAAGAGAATATTTGATGACATGAAAATTATATGAAATATAAATTTCAGTTTCCATAAATAAAATTCTGTTGAAACACAGCCACCCTCATTTGTTTACATATTGTCAGTGGCTGCTTTCCCCCTACAAAGGCAGAGCTGAGTAGCTGCAGCAGAGGGCACATGGCCCACAAAGCCTAAAATATTTTATTTTATTTATTTATTTATTTATTTATTTATTTATTTATTTTGAGATGGAGTCTCGCTCTGTCACCCAGGCTGGAGTGCAGTGGCGCGATCTCGGCTCACTCTAAGCTCCGCTTCCCGGGTTCACGCCATTCTCCTGCCTCAGCCTCCTGAGCAGCTGGGACTACAGGCGCCTGCCACTACGCCTGGCTAATTTTTTGTATTCTTTTAGTAGAGATGGGGTTTCACCGTGTTGACCAGGATGGTCTCGATCTCCTGACCTCCTGATCCGCCCGCCTCGGTCTCCCAAAGTAGCCTAAAATATTTACTATCCAGATCGTTACAGAAAAAAAATGTCTGCTGATACCTGGGCTAAATAATCTACAACGCTGGTGTCTCAAAAGATGTTTCTTCCTGCACCGCACTTCAGAGCTACCACACACGTGTACTGGAAACAGTCACGATTCTCATGAGCTAAGAGGTGAAGATGGGTAGTGATGAAGAGTATGGTTTAAAAGACCCCCCTCCGCCACCAGAATATTCTGATATCCACCCACTTCTCACCACCACAGGAGAAGCACCAATTTTCAGTATTTCTCCCAATGCTAAGAGCCCACAAATGCATAATTCTAAGTAAATATAACTTTTCTTGCCAGCTTCTGTGTAAGCACCATCCCATTCTATGATAGCACAAGTGACACCAAATGCCAAAGACTCCTGCTCTCGGACAGTCACACACTCCAAAGGCTACAGAGAAATATAAATGGGACTCTCCAGGTTTCCACCTGCAGGGTAGAAACAGAACACACCCAAGCCCAACGGAGACTTCACTTAGGCCAGAGGGCTCCTGGACGTTTCCCAAAACATCCCTATCAAAGGAAAGTGCCAGATTAAGATTTATGAATCCCTATGCTGTGGTGTGACAATCTGTAACAACCAACTCAAATGTGCCACCAGCTTAGCATCTCCAGGTACACAGAAAAAGAGAAAGAAAGTTCAGCCAAAGGGCAACACTGTTGCTCTGACTGAGTTACTTTCTGAATGACTCTTCTTTCTGCCTCATCTCTCTCATGCCTGGGAACTCTCATGCCCATCCACCCAAATAGTAGGGGAGCTAGGACACGCTGTGTCTGCACTCCAGGAAGTGAGAGAGAAGAGGAAATGGCTGAAGCTCCCACTGCGTGATCCCATGGACAACCAGATAACAGTTTTCCAAGAGCACATACATAAGCTCAAACCCATTTTTTTTGTTGTTGTTGAGACAGAGTCTTGCTCTGTGGCCCAAGCTGGAGTACACTGGTGCAATCCCAGCTCACTGCAACCTCCGCCTCTGGGGTTCAAGCAACAATCGTGCCTCAGCTTCCCAAGTAGCTGGGACTAGAAGCACGTGCCACCAAGCCCGGCCAATTTTTGTATTTTTAGTAGAGACGGGGTTTTGCCATGTTGTCCAGGCTGGTCTTGAACTTCTGGCCTCAAGTGATCTGCCCACCTCGGGCTCCCAAAGTGCTGGGACTACAGGCGTGAGATACCGTGCTCGGCCATCAAACCCATCTTATAAATCAACAGGTTGACACAGCGTAAGAGGGATGGTGAAGACTTCCTCACACATGGACCCATACATTTATTCATTCAACAAAAACCTACTGGGCACATTTTATGTACAAAGCACAGTGCACAAGCTGTGAACAAGGCAGAGATAATCCTTCCTCTATGGGTAACACAGACAATTATGAAGTGCCATGACTGGGGAAGGCTAGGATGCTGTGGAAATATACAGAAGCAGCACCAGAGATATCCTCTCAGAGGAAAAGACCTTTGAGTTGAAAAGTGAGGGTTGAAGAAACAGTTGGTTTTGGAGAGGAGAGGGAGTCACGTCCTGGTGTGTCTTAAGCAAAGGGAACAACATATATGATGTTCTCAAAAGTGGTACATTGTAGACTGGCATGGCTAGATGATTGATTCTGTAAGAAAGTCTGGAGAAGTGGGCAGGGCATGTTGGACAGGTCCTTGTTAAAGAATGTGATCTTCGGCCGGGCGCGGTGGCTCACACCTGTAATCCCAGCACTTTGGGAGGCCGAGGCGGGCGGATCACGAGGTCAGGAGATCGAGACCATCCTGGCTAACACGGTGAAACCCCGTCTCTACTAAAAATACAAAAAATTAGCCGGGCGTGGTGGCGGGCGCCTGTAGTCCCAGCTACTCGGGAGGCTGAGGCAGGAGAATGGCGTGAACCCGGGAGGCGGAGCTTGCAGTGAGCCGAGATCGCGCCACTGCACTCCAGCCTGGGCGACAGAGCGAGACTCCGTCTCAAAAAAAAAAAAAAAAAAAAAAAAAAGAATGTGATCTTCATTAAAGCCACTGAAGGGTTTTCAGCAGGGAAGTGACATGAGCAAACCTGTATTTGTAAAGGTTGTTCTGGATGTTTAGAAAACTTAGGGTTTTGGCCAGCTGCCCCGTCCGGGAGGGAGGTGGCGGGCGCCTCCGCCCGGCCAGCCGCCCCGTCCGGGAGGTGGGGGGCACCTCTGCCCGGCCGCCCCTTCTGGGAAGTGAGGAGCCCCTCTGCCCGGCCACTACCCCGTCTGGGAGGTGTACCCAACAGCTCATTGAGACGGGCCATGATGACGATGGCGGTTTTGTGGAATAGAAAGGGGGGAAAGGTGGGGAAAGAATAGAGAAATTAGATTGTTGCTGTGTCTGTGTGGAAGGAAGTAGACATGGGAGACTTTTCATTTTGTTCTGTACTAAGAAAAGTTCTTCTGCCTTGGGATGCTGTTGATCTGTGACCTTACCCCCAACCATGTGCTCTCTGAAACATGTGCTGTGTCCACTCAGGGTTGAATGGATTAAGGGCGGTGCAAGATGTGCTTTGTTAAACAGATGCTTGAAGGCAGCATGCTCATTAAGAGTCATCATCACTCCCTAATCTCAAATACCCAGAGACACAAACACTGCGGAGAGCCGCAGGGTCCTCTGCCTAGGAAAACCAGAGACCTCTGTTCACTTGTTTGTCTGCTGACCTTCCCTCCACTGTTGTCCCATGACCCTGCCAAATCCCCCTCTGCGAGAAACACCCAAGAATGATCAATAAAATAAATAAATAAATAAATAAGAAGAAAAAAAAAAAAGAAAACTTAGGGTTTTTTTGAGGGGTGAGGGGTTGGGTGGAGTCAAGTGTGTGGAGGTGAGGAGACCAGGTAAAAGGTTGTTGTTGCAATCATCCACTGGCAATGGAAACACAGAGGGAGGGAAGATGTGAAGATTGTCATTCCACACTTGGACAATCATGAGCCCTGTCTTTAAGTCTCAGTGGTTCTAGTTCCAAGTAACTTAATTTACAGACTAGCGGTGGTGCAGAACCAAGCATGAGTATTTTAAAAAGACTAAAGGCCAAGCACGGTGGGTCACGCCTGTAATCCCAGCACCTTAAGAGGCTGAGGCGGGTGGATCGCTTGAGCTCAGGAGTTTGAGACCAGCCTGGGCCAACATGGCAAAACTCCATCTTTACAAAAAATAAAAATAAAATAAAATAAATCAGCCACGCATGGTGGCGCACACCTGTAGTTCTAGCTACTTGTGAGGCTTAGGTGGGAGAACTGCTGGAGCCTGGGAGGCAGAGATTGCAGTGAGCCGTGATGGTGCCACTGCACTCCAGCCTGGGAGACACAGTGAGACTTAATTTTTAAAAAAAATAGATAGACAGATTTGATACGGATTAAATAGGTTATCCAGGCAATATATACAAGAAAACTCGTGAGAAAAAGAGATGAATGTTGTAGGGAAAGAGCATACACATCACTATCTGTGAGAATTTAAATCCACTTCTTTTTGGAGAGTAATGTGGCAAAACCCAGACAAAGGTATGTATGTATGTATGTATGTATTTATTTATTTATTATTTTGAGACGGAGTCTCACTCTGTTGCCCAGGCTGGAGTACAGTGGTGCCATCTTGGCTCACTGCAACCTCCACCTCCCAGGTTCAAGGGATTCTTCCTTTTTTTTTTTTTTTTGAGACAGAGTCTCGCTCTGTTGCCCAGGCTGTAGTGCAGTGGCGTGATCTCGGCTCACTGCAACCTCCGCCTCCCAGGTTCAAGCAATTCTCCTGCCTCAGCCTCCCGAGTAGCTGGGACTACAGGCACGTGCCACCACACCCAGCTAATTTTTGTATTTTCAGCAGAGACGGGATTTCACCACGTTGGCCAGGATGGTCTCCATCTCTTGAGCTCGTGATCTGCCCACCTCCCAAAGTGTTGGGATTACAGGCGTGAGCCACTGCGCCCGGCCAAAAGAATCCTGTGCCTCAGCCTCCTGAGTAGCTGGGATTATAGACACGAGCCACCACGCCTGGCCCCCAAAGGTATTTAAAGGAAAAGGTATTTCTGTCAGGATTTAAGGATTCTGATCCTGAGTAGTAGCAATTCCATCTGCTACATTCCAGCCTAAGTGAGTGGGCAAAAAGAGACTACACTTAACATCAGAATGAAAGCCAAAGTCCTTACAATGGCCTACAAAAGACCTATATAATCTTACTCCACTACCTCCTTCTGCTCCTTAAATGTGATGAGTATGCTCCCAACTCGGGCCTTTGTATTTATCTTCCAGCCCAGTGGTTCCCAAACTTTACAGTACATTGAAATTTTCCTGGCTGGGCCTGGTGGCTCATGCTTGTAATCCCAGCACTTTGGGGGGCTGGGCGGATCACGAGATCAAGAGCTCGAGACCAGCCTGACCAAATGGCGAAACCCCATCTCTACAAAAAAATACAAAAATTAGCTGATGGTGGCACATGCCTGTAGTCCCAGCTACTCAGGAGGCTGAGGCAGGAGAATCACTTGAACCCAGAAGGCGGAGGGTGCAGTGAGCTGAGATCATGCCACTGGACTCCAGCCTGGGCGACAAAGCGAGACTCTGTCGCAAAAAAAAAAAAAAAAAAAAAAAAAAATATACACACACACACACACACACACACACACATATATATACATATATAGATGGTCAAAACTTCTATAGCATCTTCTATGTGTAGCACACTACTCTAAGCACTTTGCGTCTGTTAACATTACAACAATTCTGTGAGGATAAGTACTACTATTATTTCCTTACAGAAAACAGCAAAGAGGTTAATTGACTTGCCTAGAGCCTGAGCTCTTTATTTCTCGCCTTTTAAAAAAGGCGACCTTGGCTGGGTGCAGTGACTCACGCCTGTAATCCCAGCACTTTGGGAGGCTGACGCAGGCAGATCAACGGAGGTCAGGAGTTCGAGACCAACCTGGCCAACACGGTGAAGGACCATCTCTACTAAAATCACAAAAAAATTAGCTGGGTGTTATGGCACATGCCTGTAATCCCAGCTACTGGGGAGACTGAGGCAGGAGAATCATTTGAACTGGGAAATGGAGGTTGCAGTGAGCCAAGACTGCACCACTGCACTCCAGGCTAGGCGACAGAGTAAGACTCTGTCTCAAAAAAAAAAAAAAAAAGGCAACCTCATTTGAACCTAGGAATTCAAGACCAGCCTGGGCAACATAGAGAGACCTTGTTTCTACGAAAAAATAATTAGCTGGGCGTGGTGGTGCAGCCTGTAGTCCCAGCTACTCTATGGGCTGAGTTGGGAGGATTGCTTGAGCCCAGGAGGTGAAGGGTGAAGTGAGCTGTGATCACGCCACTGCACTCCCAGCCTCAGTGACAGAGCAAGACGCCAGCTCAAAAAAAAAAAAAAGGAACTGGCGCGATGGCTCACACCTGCAATTCCAGCATGTTGGGGGGCCGAGGTCAGGAGTTCAAGACCAGCCTGGCCAACATGGTGAAACCCCATTTCTACTAAAAATACAAAAATGAGCACGGTGTGGTGGCATGTACCTGTAATCCCAGCTAGTTGGGAGGCTGAGGTAGGAGAATTGCTTCAACCCAGGAAGCGGAAGTTGCAGTGAGCAGAGATCACACCACTGCACTCCAGCCTGGGCGACAAAGCGAGACTCTATCTCAAAAACACACAAACAAAAGGCAACTTTTTCAGCAGAACCGAGACAGACACGGAGAATGTTTCTATAAAGACCAAAAGCAAAAGCCCCAAACAAAACCCACCAATGGTTTCAGCTTTCTTTCACCGAGAGACCACCAGGCCAAACCAACAGAGAAGTCTTGGAGATTAAGGTAAGTAAATACTTCCAGTCCAGACAATACCATGCAAGTTGGCAGAAGCATGTAACAACATGCACCCTCAAATAGTATCAGTAAGAAGAGATAAAAGATAAAATTGTAAAACTGAACAAGTTTATTCATGGTGATAAAGCAACAGGAGCCTGATGAATAAGGAAAGAGTCCTTCAAGGACGGGCACAGTAGCTCATGCCTGTAAGAGGATCACTTGGGCCCAGGAGTTTGACCAGCCTGGGCAACACAGTGAGACCTCATCTCTACAAAAAATAAACAAAATTAGCCAGCTATGGTGGCACACGCCTGTAGTCCCAGTTGGGAGGCTGAGGTGGGAGGATCACCTGAGCCCAGGAGGTTGAGGCTGCAGTGAGCCGAGATCGTGCCACTGCACTCCAGCCTGGGTGACAAAACGAGACCCTGTCTCCAAAAAAAAAAAAAAAAAAAAAGTTCAAGGAATATGTGTGCATTCGCACACTAATAAAGGGACTGTGCACAGTCCAGAAAAATATTTGAAAATATAACCTCTCTACCTACCTAACGCCATACAGGAAAACCCCTGAATCTCTCAGGAAAGGGAGGAGCACGAACTAATCTAAGAACCCAAAGGAGAACGAAGCTTCAGTTTAAGATAGATGTGGTCACAAAGACGGTTTCACAAACCACTCTGCTGTGGTTATTTGCCATAAAGCAAATAACCAGCACACAGGGAGCTTTGGCTACCTTGTGCGAGCTTCAGATTTAAGCAAGGCACCAAATAAGGGAAGGATTCTGGCGCATCAACTCCCAGGAAAAGTGTTTCAAGTTAAAAATGGTCATTCAGGTTTGGATGTGAACTTCTGTATCTGCTCTTTATCAACAGAGGCAACTCTACCTCCCTGGCAGCTAGCAGCAGAAAAAGAAGAAAACTGTTAGAATACAAATGGATTACACAAAGACAACAACATGGCCTGCTACAGCCTGGCATTCGCCTTGACACTAAAAACAAGGCTAGAAACACGCATTGCAGATCTTCTGGGATTCCACATCTGAGCTGAACCAAGCATGTCCAGGAGAAGGCAGGCCATGATGTCACTTTCCCCCCCCACAGCCAGATGCTTCAAGATGAAGGCTGTAAACCACAGCACTGTTGGTGAGAGACTCAGTTTCACTGTGACTGGAGGCAAGGCCTGCTTCCAGCTAGTTTTTTTGGTCAATCAAATCTTTTCTGTGCTGGTTCCCAGACCCAAACTCTGTAGTTCAAAAGTCAAAGCAAACACCTCAAATCTTTTATCTTTGATCCAATTCTTTATCTTCCAAATTCTCTCTTCGTCCTCTGTCTCTGAACAATGAAAATCAATCTTAACAAGGATCCACAAAGCAAGGAAAACATGGGCATTAACTTCTTCCTAATTTATTTAAAATGCTCTGTCACTGCTATCATTAAACGTATAGAAAAAAATTTGAGTTTAGAGTTAAAAGGGAAGAGGCCGGGCGCAGTGGCTCATGCCTGTAATCCCAGCACTTTGGGAGGCCGAGGTGGGTGGATCACCTGAGGTCAGGAGTTTGAGACCAGCCTGGCCAAAAATGGCAAAACCCTGTCTCTACTGAAAATACAAAAATTAGCTGGGTGTGATGGCGGGTGCCTGTAATCCCAGCTACTTGAGAGGCTGAGGCAGAAGAATCACTTGAACCCGGGAGGCGGAGGTTGCAGTGAGACGAGATCATGCCATTCCACTCCAGCCTGGGCAACAGGGCAAGACTCTATCTCAAAAATATATTTAAGAAAAAAGAAAAAAAAGTCGGGCGCGGTGGCTCACGCCTGTAATCCCAGCACTTTGGGAGGCCCAGGAGGGCAGATCACGAGGTCAGGAGATCGAGACCATCCTGGCTAACACAGTGAAACCCTTTCTCTACTAAAAATACAAAAAAAAAAAAAATTAGCCAGGTGTGGTGGCGAGCACCTGTAGTCCCAGCTACTCAGGAGGCTGAGGCAGGAGAATCACTTGAACCCGGGAGGCGGAGCTTGCAGTGAGCCAAGATCGCACCACTGCATTCTAGCCTGGGTGACAGAGCGAGACTCCGTCTCAAAAAAAAAAAAAGGGAAGAGAAGAATGACAGCGATACAAGTAAATAAACTGCTGGTTATACAAGTATGCTTACATTGTCACAATTTATCACCTGTATGGCTCTGTTATGTGCACTTTTCTGTGTATATATATTTTTGGAAGATTTCTTTTAACTCTGCAATAATTTTTTAAATTGCCACAACTTTTTCTACTAGTCCACAAAAAGCCTTTGTTTCACAGCCAATAAATACCCTTTGCCCCATATGTCCTAATCCCCACCATTATTCTAACTCTGAGGTGGTAGACATGCAGATGACTGGTGCTATAATAAACAACTTTCTGCTACCCCTCGGTGGACAAAGCTGTGCAGATGTGTTGATGGTGTATGCTATATCCCCAGTGTACGGATGTAAAGACAAGGAAAGAGATTAAAAAATCTGTTCATGCAAACAAAAAGAAATTTAGGAATGCAACCCATAAGATCTCACTCCTGGTCTGCAGTGACCACAAGTGACAGCTTCCTAGGAGCACGAAGGGCACTATTAGTGCCTTATTCAACCTTTTGACATATGTCACTTGCAAGTATTTCAAAAGCCATAGAGTTTTATAGATCTGTCCAGAAGTCTAAAGGAAAACCTGCCAAAGACATTCCTCAGAAGAGAATGTCAAATGTGTTAACATAGTTTGCTTGACAAATTAGGACCTAGCATCTCAGAGATTTGTGGCACAAGTAAACTCAAAATCTCAATAGCAAGAATAAGGTTTTAGCATCTTTATCAAGAAAAAAAATCCCAGAAAAATGTAAATCCATAGCGAGTATTATCACAATTCCTCTTTCCCATACGCATCAGGAGCTGCAGTCCTACTGTGTGTGTGAAAGTCAAGAATAGGACTTAGTGCCAATGATTACAACACAAAGCATAACTTATTCCTAAGCCAAGCTGGGCTTGGCTCAGAAAGCTTCCCAGAATGATGGAAGGCATGACTTTAGAGTGAGTCAACCTTTGCTAATACATAAAATAAAGCAGAGAAAGAACTATTTGAAGGATTCACTTCTAAGCTTGAGCCAAATCAAAAGCTCAAATCTATCTACATTGTGATGAATCTTCAGTTCCAACTGAGTGATCAGACAGCACCAATGTGGACATCTGTACCATGGCCCAAGACATTATAATGACAGAATCTTGGCTGGGAATCTCAGAAGCAACCATTCCTTGCAGTTTCGAACCATGCTATGTTTTTATCCATGTTGTTCCTTCTGCCAGAAAAGTCAGCTGACCACATCTACCTAAAATACTTCTTTGACTTGCAAAATTAAGGACAAAGATTACCTTTCTAGGTCGCTCTACCTGTTCACCCTGAGTTAATCTCTTTTACCTCTGTCCAGTGTATATATTTCTATTATTACATTTATAACACTTTATTGCAAGTATTTATTTACATATCCTTTTTTCTTACTAGACTGTGTTTTTGAGGGAAGGACCAACATCACTTACTTTTCTGTGTGCAGTACCTAGAATAACAATATATAAAGGTGCTCCATGAATATTTATGGAAATGACCTGAATTGGGACAGGGAAAAACTTGATTTCCTCAGAGACTACTAGCTGGCCTCAGAGGAGGTTTTACAGCAAAATGGGCAAGTGAAAAGAGAAAAAATATCTATATAAAACTTTGAAGCCACTTATTTTAGGCAACATACAAAGGTATATACTATACTGTAAGATAAAATAGATAAAAACAAGAAAGAGAAGCCAAAGAGAAAAAGATAAAGAGGTCACCAAACAGTAAGGTCACGACCGAAGATAAACGCCCTTTACACTTACTAAAGGAAGTTTGGCTACAACCTCTGGAACAATTAAAATAGAGAATCATTCTGGGTTAAAAATTCACAAATTTGCTATTATAACAATCTTACAAATGTGCATGAGGTTGAAGAAACCCATTTTCTACTAAGAGCAGAAATTTCTTCCACAGGCTTCCACAAAGACACCACGCAACACAAACAGCAATCCTTCTCTAGGTCTCTTTTTTATGTATCTTCATAGAGGCTGATGACACACTCAAGTACAAATCAGTAAAAGCAGTACTACTAGTAACCAATGTTACCTAGTTACATAGCTCTCTGATGGTTCTAAGCATGAACGACACGGAAAAAACAGTAGCAGGAGAGGTGCCTAGTGATTTCTATAATAAATGCTCAACAAATTTTGGATCAGAAGATGGAAGACAACTCAAAAAACCACTTAAGCTCTTAAAAATAAAAATGTGTGGTTAATACATTTTATAGGAACCAAAACATCAGAAAGACAGAGGGTACAGATAGTATTTTAAATTCTTTCTGGTCTAGAGAGTCTATCCACTCATACTAGGGAGAAAAAAAAGAGCACAGTTCACTTCAATACTAAATATTTATGAGTAAAGTGAAAGGCTTCCAAGAGGGGAAGAACCTGGAGTTTCCCCCTGGAGTCAAACAAACAGCCCGCAGACTGGGGAAGGATCACGAGCCAAGAAAACAACGATTTCATATTCTCTATCTTAGCTCAAATACATCAGATCTAAGATGTTGAAAAGAGGGTAGAGAGATGAAATTCTGGCACCTTTAAGAGCAAAGAGGGATTTTACAGAATGATCAAACTATGGATACAGCTCCCCAAGAGAACAGTCAGAAACAAAAACCAATATAGGAAGTTGGTGAGAAACGCAACACGGGAAAAACATAAAGGGTAGTGCAGTCTTACCCCACATAACAGGCAGTGTGTTACTATATAAAGTGAGCTGCTCCCAGAGTAACATCACCTCACTACTCCTTCCTATAGCAGCTGCAGATTGAACAAGGATCCAATGTACAGGTCTCATTCTTATTTGGAAGGCTCTTCACAGACCACAAGCTGGATCCTAAGGGACGATTTATAGTACCCCCTCACGTACATTCCAGTTGGCTGGAACTCAGCAGCTGATTGCTCCCTTGTCTAACTTGGCAAGGAGCCAAAGGAGGACTTTTCTCAGTCAACTCTCCCAAGCTGGAAAATTCTCTAATGCCAGAGTTCTGGCTTAAGTCGGGATATCAGGTTATTCATGAGATGCCAAAACTACATCTTTACATTGGCTTTGAACAAGTCCCTCAAGTACACCATACAGATTCCCACAGACCTCAAAATCATCTGGATATTAAGGCCAAAGATGGCTACTCCATCTCTCACATAGAGAGGAATGTGCTTTTCACAACACCAGCAACATCAAAACAAACCTTTCATAAATCACAAATCAATCTCAATTCTTAAAATAGGTGTCAAGCAACAAACGCAACATTAAATTACTTCCTAGGCTGGACACAGTGACTCATAGCTATAATCTCAGCACTTTGGGAGGCTGAGGTGGGTGGATCGCTTGAGCCCAGGAGTTTGAGACCAGCCTGACCCACATGGTGAAACCCCGTCTCTACGGAAAATACAAAAATTAGCTGGGCATGGTGGTGTGTGCCTGTAGTCCCAGCTACTCAGGAGGCTGGGAGGGGAGGATTGCTTGAGCCCAGGAGGCGAAGGTTGCAGTGAGCTGAGATCGCGCCACTGCATTCCAGCCTGGGTGACAGAACGAAACCCCATCTCAAAAAAAAAAAAAAAATTTCCTTAAAATCTTGTATTCCACCCTACTGAAAACTCTCCCTATTCCACTAGCTACTCAAATTCTCTCACTATTGTTAATCCCTAGGCCATCAAGATCCAAATCCCAAGTCAGGTTCTCTGAGAGGAAATGAAGGAGTAAACCTTAACAAAATGTTTTTGACCTTGTCAAGCTTCAAAAGTAGTGGTTCTCAACCAGAATATGACCACCCATCCCAGGAACTGTTTGGAAGTATGTGTGGGCCGTTACTGGCATCTAATGAGCAGAGCCAGGAACGCTAAACATCCTGCAAGGTCAGACCTGCATAATGAAGAACTGTCGGCCGGGCACAGTGGCTCAAGCCTGTAATCCCAGCACTTTGGGAGGCTGACCACCTGAGGTCAGGAGTTCGAGACCAGACTGGCCAACATGGCGAAACACCATCTCTTCTAAAAATACAAAAATTAGCAGCGGGTGGTGACAGGAGCCTGTAGTCCCAGCTACTGGGGAGGCTGAGGCAGGAGAAACGCTTGAACCTGGGAGGCGGAGGTTGCAGTGAGCTGAGATTGCGCCACTGCACTCCAGCCTGGACAACAGAGCAAGACTGCCTCTCAAAAAAAAAAAACTGTCTGCTTAAAAGGCGATAACATTCTCATTAACAATCAATTTCCTAACAGAAGAACCTTATCATTAACTGCATTCACCTCTCCCAGCTTTTACAGCAGTGGTAAATTTTTTCTGTAAAAGGTCACAGAAAATAATTTAGGCTTCGTGAGCCACGTACATCTCTGTCTCGTGTTGCTCTTTTTAAACAACTCCTGACATAAGAATGTAAAAACCATTCTTAGCTCATAGGCCACTGGCAATATTTTGCCCATCCCTGTTCTAGGGTATTACCTGAATCATTAGTCTGTTTATATTAATTTAGAGATGCTGGTTAAAATAAAGTGTGATGGAGTATGCTATAAACAACACCAATAATGCATATGACAATCTTAAAGAATGAAATATGAACTTCAGAACTTAGCCTTACCACCTAAGAACTGGTGCATGTGTTGGGCTTCTAATCACCTCTCATTCTCGTCCCCTGTGCATTTCAGGTGCTTTAGGTTTTCTTCTGAATGTTCATTTTCAAACACTTTACCAGGAAGAGCACAGAAATGCCTTTCCCCCCTCTTCAGGATCTAGTACTTTCTGTTCACCATGCGTGCCACTCAAAGTCTTTTACAATTATTGCTGTTAACATCTTCTAAAATGTCTAAACCAAACCAAGGCCTGGAAATTCTGACGGGTATCTGGGTCCTGACTTTCCGGATGGTAACTAAAGGTCACGTGGGGTGGAAAGTGGCCTGTGGGTAACACAGAATATACACACGCACGCGAACAGGATATGCTGGTAATCCGGCTTCCTGAGACCTGGTGAGTTTTGAGAGTTCTCATCAACACTCTCGGGGAGGATGAAAAACCTTAAGCTGGGAAATGGCAGATTTTAAGCAAGTGCTCATTGTTAGATCTCTGTCTACAGCAGAATGGGAAGGTACACCATTTACTCCTCTATATTTTATTTGCCTAAAAACACAATACACAAAAAATAAACAAAGTGACTACTGAGAGAGGTTTCTTCAGTGTGGAAGCTGGCGTTTGCAGCATGGCTTATGTCACGTCTCAACCCCAGAAAGATGAAGAGTGTGGTTTTGGTGTTTAACCAGCCTCAGCAGCACCCTGGCACTCTGTTTCTTCCCCCAGAGAACTCTGCTCTGTTAGAGGAAAGAAACCAACCTCACATATTGAAACAAAACGGATAGGATAAAAATAAAGCCCTGAAGTGGTTTGGTGACCGAGGTCATTTGGGGCATTAAGGGTTTATAGGTAGGGCTGATGTACTTTGAGAAACTTGCACTCACTACCAACCACAAAGACATTAGCCTTACAGTCCAGCAGTGATCTGGACAAAGCAGCCCCAATCCTTGCCTACCAGGGGCTGCTCCTTGCAACCCACCTCACATTATCAACATCTGAAAAACCCGGTTCTGGTTCTGACCTTCTTTGAGGATCCCACTAAGCTGTTTCTCATGGCCTAAGAAAAAGAAAACCAATCTGCTTCTTCCCACAGAAAGAGGCTCTAATGAACTGCTGTCATCACGTGCTGCCAAACTGCAGTTCACACACTTTTCAAATAGCTTCCAGAGTGAAGAGTACAGCCTGAGGTACATATTGCAAACTACTTTACAAAAGCATAGGACTAATTAAAGACATGAAGTCAACTCACAAAAACCCTAAAAAATTTTCTGATGCCCACCTTACAGATACGGAATCTTTTTCTTTTGAGGCAGGGTCTCACTCTGTAACCCAGGCTGGAGTGAAGTGGAGCAGTCAAGACTCACTGCAGCCTCAACCTTCCAGACCAGAGTATTCTCCCACCTCAGGCTCCCGAGTAACTAGGACCACCCACCACACCTGGCTAATTTTTTTTTTTTAGTAGAGACAGGGTATCCCTACGTTGTCAAGGCTAGTCATGAATGAACTCCTGGATTCAAGCAATCCTCCTGCCTCAGCCTCCCAATGTGCCGGGATTATACCGGCGTTGAGTCACTGTTCCCAGCAAGATATGGAGTCTTTATATCCATGAGGCCAAAAAATTAAGCTGGCTTTCTCTGTCATGATGATATAATTATGAGACAATGAAATAACTGGGTTATCACAGATAAAGCACTTACCTACTAGTGCAGAGACTCAACTATTCTTTATCATTATAGATTAAATCAGTGCTTGTGCTATCCAGAGAGAACCAGGCCAAAAGCTTTCTTTTTTAATGTATTTACTTATTTATGTATTTTTAATTATTTTTATTATTATTTTTTTTTTTTTTGAGACAGAGTCTCGCTCTGTTGCCCAGGCTGGAGTGCCGTGGCGCGATCTCGGCTCACTGTAAGCTCCACCTCACAGGTTCAAACCATTCTCCTGCCTCAACCTCCCGAGTAGATGGGACTACAGGCGCCTGCCACCACACCCGGCTAATTTTTTGTATTTTTAGTAGAGACGGGGTTTCACCGTGTTAGCCAGGGTAGTCTCGATCTCCTGACCTCGGGATCCGCCTGCCTTGGCCTCCCAAAGTGCTGGGATTACAGGCGTGAGCCACTGCACCCAGCCTTATTTATGTATTTTTTAAGTGAAATATTTTTATTATTATTAGAGACGGCATCTCATTATGTTGCCTAGGCTGGTCTCCAACTCCTGGGTTCATGCAATTTCCCACCTCAGCCTCCCAAAATGCTGGGATTATAGGCATGTGCTACTGTGTCCAGTCTAAAAGCTTTTTCTAAGCTTCATAATGGGTACTGGCTCTCAAACTATAAACCTAAAGCCTCATGATACAACTCTAGGAATTAGAACTCATTCCAACAGAAAGCAAGTCACCTTGTCTAAGGAAACCTTATAAAACCATGCTCTGATCTATAATTGTTTTGCGGGGAGGGTGGAGGAATTAGATGTGTACCACTCATACACAGCAGCTTTCACAGCAGCAGCAGCTCAGGTGCACAAACTACGCAAGGGGCACTGAAAAGACAAATGATGAGTCTAAAGAAAATATTGGGTGGGGAGCAGTGACTCATGCCTGTAATCCCAACACTTTGGGAGGCCGAAGTGGGCAGATCACTAGAGGTCAGGAGTTTGAAACCAGCCTGGTCAACATGGTAAAACCCCATCGCTACTTAAAAAAATACAAAAATTAGGCCGGGAGCGGTGGCTCACGCTTATAATCCCAGCACTTCGGGAGGCCGAGGTGGGCGGATCACAAGGTAAGGAGATCGAGACCATCCTGGCTAATATGGTGAAACCCCATCTCTACTAAAAATACAAAAAAATTAGCCGGGCATGGTGGCGGGCACCTGTAGTCCCAGCTACTTGGGAGGCTGAGGCAGGAGAATGGCATGAACCCGGGAGACAGACCTGGCAGTGAGCTGAGATCACGCCAGTGCACTCCAGCCTGGGCGACAGAGTTAGACTTCGTCTCAAAAAAAAAACGATCAGGCACGGTGGCTCACGCCTGTAATCCCAGCACTTTGGGAGGCCGAGGCGGGCAGATCACGAGGTAAGGAGATCGAGACCATCCTGGCTAACATGGTGAAACCCCGTCTCTACTAAAAATACAAAAAATTAGCTGGGCATGTTGGCAGGCGCCTGTAGTCCCAGCTACTCATAGTCCCAGCTACCCGAGAGGCTGCGGCAGGAGAATGGTTTGAACCTGGGAGGCGGAGCTTGCAGTGAGCCGAGATCGCAGCACTGCACTCCAGCCTGGGCGACAGAGCCAGACTCCATCTCAAAAAAAAAAAAAAAAAAAAAATTAGCCGGGTGCAGTGGTAGGTGCCTGTAATCCCAGCTACTTGGCAGGCTGAGGCATGAGAATCACTTGAACCTGGGAGGCGAAGGTTGCAATGAGCCGAGATCGTGCCGCTGCACTCCAGCCCAGGGTGACAGCATGAGACTCTGTCCCAAAAAAAAAAGAAAGAAAAGAAAATGCCACCTACATAACACACTTTCAAAACAAAAAACTATACATTAAAAAAAAAAAAAATAGCCCTCAAGCAAATACAACAAGTTGAGCATGTGGTGAACGTTCTGTGCTACAGGCCACCTGGCCTGGGTTTTCCACAGGGAAGCCATGCTCCTTTGCTAACCAACTTTCACTTTGCTGGTCTACTGATTAAATGCAAAAAGAAAATATACTATCCAACTTTGTGTAGCCACGTATTCCAACTCAGAAAGAAAACTGTCCTTCTCAACTTTCAATAGCACCTCTAAGAAAATCACGAGAGATTTGGGAAGAGGCAGCATGCAAAATTCCAAGCAGAAACTATGAGCTCCAGCCCTAGGGAAACAAGGTTATCACTGTCATCATCTTACAGATAGAAAACTAAAGCTCAGCCAGGTTACAGAACATGCCCAAAGTCTCGCAGCTAATATCTGATAAAAGTAGGACTTCAGGCCAGGCATGGTGGCTCACGCCTGTAATCCTAGTGCTTTGGGAGGTCAAGGCAAGAGGATGGCTTGAGCCCAGGAGTTTGAGACTGCAGTGAGCTATGATGGCGCCCCTATGCTCCAGCCTGGGCGACAGAGTGAGACTCTGTCTCAAAACGAAAAAAACAAAAAAACTAGCACTTGAACTCAGGACTTTCCAAAGCTCTGCACTATCCTGGCTCTGACATACAAATACTAGACAAAATTATGAAGGCTATCAGCCAGGCTCTAGAGAGATACAATGGATTTGAGGGCAATTACTCAGAGAAGGATCTCCGAAGTCCAGTAGCAATAGGGAAAAAAAAAGGTGAATATACCAGTGTGTATAATATGCCACTAATAATGCAAGAGAAGAAAAATAATCACATATACACCTACATAATATATGACCTACTGAAAATAGTTCTTTAGAGTCCAGGTGTAGTGGTTTATGCTTGTAATCCTAGCACTTTGGGAGGCTGAGGTGGGAGGATCACTTGAGCTCAGTTTGAGACCAGTCTCAGCAACACAGCGAGACCCTTCCTCTATGAAAAATAAAAAACATTGGCCAGGCATGGTGGCACATGCCTGTAGTCCCAGCTACTCAGGAGGCTGAGGCAGGAAGACCACTTGAGCCTGGGAGATGGAGGCTTCAGTGAGCGATGATCATGCTGCTGCACTCCAGCCTGCACAACAGAGAGGAACCATGTCTCAAGGAAAAAAAAAATTCTTCAACTAAAATACTTTAAAAGGCAATCACTCCTCTGTGTGATCTCTTTCAACCTCTATTCCCACTAACTTAGAAACCAACTCCGGCATTACAGCCTAGGCACTTTTCCAACTACACCCCAGCCTTTGAAACAAGGTCATCAACTTTCCATGCCCAGGGGGCGTCAAATTAATGCCCCATTCCCCAAGGTGTCACTAGTTCAAGATGCTTCCTTACGAAATGGGCATTTTCAGACTCAATCTTTCGAAACAATAATTGGTCTATCAGATGCCTAACATTTCTTGAACTCTCTATGCTCTATTCATGTGGCTTGAGAAGTTTCTCTCTACACACAGGAGGAAAGGCCTACAGTTGTAACTTTAATTGTGTTACTTTGATAAAACAGAAAAATAAGGCCAGGCGTGGTAGCTCACACCTGTATCCCAGCACTTTGGGAGGTTGAAGCAGGAGGATTGCTTGAGTCCAGGAAATTGTTCTTCTGTTTTTTTCTGGTTTTTTTTTTTTTTTTTTGAGACAGTCTCACTCCACAACCCAGGCTGGAGTGCAGTGGTGCAATCTTGGCTCACTACAACCTCTGCCTCCCAGCATCCCGAGTAGCTGGAATTACAGGCATGCACCACTATGCCCGGCTAATTTTTGTATTTTTAGTAGAGACGGGGTTTCGCCATGTTGGCCAGGCTGGTCTTGGACTCCTGATCTCAAATAACCTGCCTGCCTCAGACTCCCAAAGTGCTGGGATTACAGGTGTGAGCCACCATGCCCAGCCAAGTCCAGGAGTTTGAAACCAGCCTATACATTTTAAAAAGCAGCCAGGCATGGTGGCTCATGCCTGTAATCCCAGCACTTTGAAAGGCCAAGGTGGGTGGATCACCTGAGGTCAGGAGTTCGAGACCAGCCTGGCCAACACGGTGAAACCCCGTCTCTCCTAAAAACTACAAAAATTAGCTGGGCATGATGGCGGGCGCCTGTAGTCCCAGCTACTCAGGAGGCTGAGGCGGGAGAATCGCTTAATCCCAGGAGGCAGAGATTGCAGTGAGCCGAGATCATACCATTGCACTCCAGCCTAGGAAACAGAGCAAGACTCCGTCTCAAAAAAAATAAAAATAAAAATAAAAAGCTGTAAATTTTTTTTAATTAAAAAGAAAAAAGGCTTTGCCCTACTTAACCCAAACCACTGGCAATTTCCTCCAACTACCAAGACACAGAGAGACACTAGCATGTTTGAGTTCAAAATGCCTAAGTGCATTGTCTAAAAGAATAGCCCTTCAACTTTTTAAGTCAGCAAACTGTGGGGTAAAAGATTCAGTCAATCTCCACCCTACCAAATTTAATGGATAGAATAGTGCTGCTTTTGCTCAATTAACAATGCAGACATGACAAGTAAACAGTGAGAAATTCCAGAAACAAATTATTATTTCCAGAATCCTAAGGTATCTTATGGGAGATCAGCCCCCTGACTACCTCCCAAGTGCACACCATGGCACCAAACTAGAATGTGGCTCTGGCAGAAGGCTCAGCCTCCTCTCTACCCTCCAACTTTCTCACATTGGCCTCCAAATTACCACAGATTTAGGTGCCCTGTGAGCCCTCTGCTGTTTCACACCTTCTCTGTCTTTGCTCATGCTATTACTTCTATTTGGAACACTCTCTTCCCACTCTGCCCAGTTAACTTTTCCAGGAAGCCTTCTGAATTCACTTTCCTCTCTCCTCACCCCAAACCATGCCTCTGCCAGGGCTGGACCAAGAGCCTCTCTCTGTGCTTCCACAGTACCCAATACATACCTCCCTCCTGGCACCCACCACAATACAATCAACCTTCATTGTTCATGGATTTTGCATTGTGAATTCACTTACTTGCTAAAACTTACTTGTAACCCCCAAATCACTACTCATGATGCTTTCACAGTCATTCCTAGACATGCACAGAGCAGCACAAAATTTGAGTCACCTGAGGTGCATGTTCCTAGCTAACTAAGGTCAGAAAAAGCAACTCTCTGCCTTCGTATTTCAGGTCATACTTAGAAGTGTCCTTGGCCGGGCACGGTGGCTCATGCCTGTAATCCCAGAACTTTGGGAGGCCGAGGCAGGCGGATCATGAGGTCAAGAAATCGAGACCATCTTGGCTAACACGGTGAAACCCCATCTCTACTAAAAATACTAAAAATTAGCCGGGTGTGGTGGTGGGCGCCTGTAGTCCCAGCTACTCGGGAGGCTGAGGCAGGAGAATGGCGTGAACCCAGGAGGCGGAGGAGCTGAGTTCACGCCACTGCACTCCAGCATGGGGGACAGAGAGAAACTCTGTCTCAAAAAAAAAAAAAGTGTCCTTTTCATGGTGTATTTAGTATCACATTTCTGAGATTTTTGTTGGTGATTTTGTTGTCTCACGTGGCCCCCACACCACTGTGCTTGGGGAGTGTGCCGAAGTGTGTGACTCCCTAAGTGCAAGAAGGCTGTGATGTGTTTTACAGGGAAAATGTGTATTAGATAAGCCTCATTCAGCTATGAGTTATAGTGCTGTTAGGCAGTGAGCTCTCTGTTAATGAATTAATAATATATATTAAATAAGGTGTCTTTAAACAGAAACCCACATAAAACAAGGTTATATAACTGGTCAGGTGTGGTGGCTCATGCCTGTAATCCCAGCAATTTGGAAGGCTGAGGTGGGCGGATCACTTAAGGTCAGGAGTTCACGACCTGCCTGGACAACACAGAGACACCCTGGCTCTACTCAAAATATAAAAATTAGCCAGGCGTGGCTGGGGACAGTGGCTCACGCCTGTAATCCCAGCACTTTGGGAGGCCGAGGCGGGTGGATCACGAGGTCAGGAGATTGAGGCCAGCCTGGCCAAAATACACAAATTAGCCAGGCATGGTGGCGGGTGCCTGTAGTCCCAGCTACACGGGAGGCTGAGGCAGGAGAATCGTTTGAACCGGGGAGGCGGAAGTTGCAGCGAGCAGAGATTGTGCCATTGCACTCCAGCCCGGGCAACAGTGTGAGACTTTGTCTCAAAAACAAATAAATAAATAAATATTAGCCAGGCGCACACCTATAATCCCAGCCACTCAGGAGGCTAAGGCACAAGAATCGCTTGAGCCTGGGAGGCAGAGGTTGCAGTGAGCAGAGATCGCGCCACTGCACTCCACCCTGGGCAACAGAGTGAGACTGTGTCTCAAAAAAAAAAACCCAAAAAAAGCAAGGTTATATATTGACCAGTTGATTAAAATGTTGTGATCAGAGGCTTGAAGGAATGTAATTCTGTATTTCCCTTAGGAGCAACAATCCACTATTCACTAATTCAGTGTTTGTGGTGAATTTATTGAATGTATAGAACATAACCACCACAAATAACAAGAATCAACTGTTTACTGTATTCTATTTATGTAACCATTTCTTCCACTGGAACAGAAGTTGGCAAACTAGGCCCACAGGCCAAATTCAATCCACCATCTGTCTTTGTAAATAAAGTTTTAATGGAATACAGTCATGCTCATTCATTTACATATTGTCCATGGCTACTTTGGTGGTACAACAGTAAAGGTGAGTGGTGGCAACAAAGAACATATGCCCTATAAAGTAATTTACTATCTGGCCCTTCATAGAAAAAGTTTGCTGACCTATACACTAGACTACACAATCAGAGAAAGTAACAATAGTGTATTCATCTTTACAATCCTAGCACAAAACTGGCACAACAGAACAGGTAAACTTTAGTCTACTTAAGCACTGAGCCCAGAACATGGTCTTCTACTCCAAAAACTCAGGGGCAACTGCATTAAATTCTCCAGACCTGAACAAGTCCTGAAAAAAGACATTATGCAAATAAATAAAATAGATAATGATATGTAACAGAAGGAAGAAGAGCAAAAGGAGAGAGAACAAGGTAAACAAAATCATTTGTTGGGTGAAGATAGAGAAAAAGGAAAACAGACAGACACGTATTACATTCTATTTGGATAACAGAGATTAGGAGCTTCTATGGTACAGTCCAGACTGAACCACAAAACATTCAAAGAGGCCAAGGAGAAGGAAGGTTTGACAAGAGCTTGGCCAAATATACAATGGCATTTCTCTTGTCTAAAGACATTATTTGCTACAATCAGCACCAAGCATGTTGCAGGAATAGTCACAGTGGCTTGGAGAAAATGCTGGCAATGGTAAACCAAATCATTCCACGGCAGGAAGACTCACTCAAGTTTCAGAGACAAACACCTATTGGCCACATGCAGTGGCTCAGACCTGTATTCCTAACACTTTGGAAGGCTGAGGTGGGAGGACTGCTTGAGCCTAGGAGTTTGAGACCATCCCAGGCAACATAGCAAGACCTTATCTCCACATATTTAGCAAAGCATAATGGATGGAATAAGCATAAAAAAGCATGGGCAAAAAAAAAAAAAAAAATAGGCGTGAGCATAAAAAAGGTAGAAACCTAATTATGTAGGTTCCTATCTTTTTAATTATGTCACTGAGGAAGTGTTTTAAGGGTTGTGCTCCTTCCTACATATATAAAGAATACGAGCCGGGCATGGTGGCTGACGCCTGTCATCCCAGCACTTTGGCAGGCCAAGGTGGGTGGATCACTTGAGGTCAGGAGTTCAATACCAGCCTGGCCAACATGGTGAAACCCCATCTCTACTAACAATACAAAAATCAGCTGGGCATGGTGGTGCGTGCCTGTAATCCCAGTCACTCAGGAGGCTGAGGCTGGAAGATCACTTGAACTCAGGAGGTGGCGGCTGCAGTGAGCTGAGATCACGCCGCTGCACTCCAGCCTGGGAGACAGAGCGAGACTCTGTCACAAAACAAAACAAAATTAAAATAAGTCTATCAGTCTATCATCTATCAACCACTCCCAATCCTATATGCTTTCTTCCCCAGCAGACAGACATGTATTACATTCTATTCAAGATGCTGATAACAAAACAATCAGATCTAAAAAATCCTCAGCAGTTCTATCAGAGACCCTTGCTTTTCAGTGTGAAAATGATTTCTGATGCTGTAATTTAATATCCTTAACTCCCTGACTGTCAGCAACAACCCAGTTGACAAGCAGTACCCCGTTTCTAAAGGGAGACGAAGAACAGCAGAAGATATAGCCACTAAATAACAAATGCCCAGAACCCTGGCAACGTGGATTTGGAGGGTCCTGGCTGGCAGGTGGAAGAGTTGAAATGTGAATCTCAATAGGATGCTACTTGCAGTTGAGGCTGGCAATCCCTCCCCAGGCTGGATGTTCAACCCAAACCACATCTCAAGACTAAAAACCAACAACCCACAAGCTAACCTCCTGCAACCATTCAGAGAGAGAAAGATCCAAAGCAAATGCTTGGCAGAGAACAGACTAGTTGGGATGTTACCACTGTTACTAACAACCACCTGAAGCCAAACTTTCTGTTTACTCATGGATCTAAATTTAAGCAGTCTGTATTAGAAATTCTCTAGGAGTTGTCAAAGGAACAATTCCAATTAAGGCTAATCACCCAGTTCTGCTATAATGTTCATTTTGAAAATGAGAATTTGTTTCATTGCCATAAATACATAAACGAACAATTTGGGCATAACACAAACTTTGCCTTTCCTTATGTGTGATTTTGTTTACAAGAAACACCAGGTAACACAGAGAACTGCATCCAGTTGAATCAAGCTGCACAGGAATACACAAAGCATACACACGCACACACCCCAAACATCTACAGCTACCCCAGTTCACCACAGGATCATGTTAGGAGCCAGGCCTATCCACATCTGCTGTTACAACTGTCCAGCAAACGTTTTTTTTTTGTTTTTGAGTTTTGCTCGTTGCCCAGGCTGGAGTGCAATGGTGCGATCTTGGCTCACTACAACTTCCATTTTCCAGGTTCAAGTGATTCTCCCGCCTCAGCCTCCAGAGTAGCTGGGATTACAGGCATACGTCATCACACCCAGCTTATTTTTTGTGTTTTTAGTAGAGACAGGGTTTCACTATGTTGGTCAGGCTTGTCTCGAACTTCCAACCTCAGGTGATCCACCCACCTCGGTCTCCCAAAGTGCTGGGATTACAGGCGTAAGCCACTGCACCTGGCCTCTGTCCATCAAATTTTAAGTAACCCTCCTTCTACCACTTCACAGTAACTCACAAGCCGTAACCCTTCCCAAGTCCACTTCCACATGCCAACTGTATGTCTTTTTGTTTTTTTGAGATGGAGTTTCCCTCTTATTGTCCAGGCTGGAGTGCAATGGCACAATCTCGGCTCACCGCAACCTCCACCTCCCGGGTTCAAGTGATTCTCCTGCCTCAGCCTCTTGAGTAGCTGGGATTACAGGCATGCGCCACCACGCCTGGCTAATTTTGTATTTTTAGTAGAGATGGGGTTTCTCCATGTTAGTCAGCCTGGTCTCGAACTCCCAACCTCAAGTGATCCGCCTGCCTCAGCCTCCCAAAGTGTTGGGATTACAGGCATGAGCCACTGCGCCCGGCCTACTTTATGTCTTTTTCAAGGTAAAGTGCTATGTTTAATGTAGTATTTACACATTTATTTATTTATTTATTTATTTATTTATTTATTTTTTATTTTTTTTTTTTTTGAGACAGAGTCTCGCTGTCACCCAGGCTGGAGTGCAGTGGCGCGATCTCGGCTCACTGCAAGCTCCGCCTCCCGGGTTCACGCCATTCTCCTGCCTCAGCCTCCCGAGTAGCTGGGACTACAGGTGCCTGCCACCATGCCCGGCTAACTTTTTGTATTTTTAGTAGAGACGAGGTTTCACCGTGTTAGCCAGGATGGTCTCGATCTCCTGACCTCGTGATCCGCCCGCGTTGGCCTCCTAAAGAGCTGGGATTACAGGCGTAAGCACCACGCCCGGCCATATTTACGTATTTCTTAACCATTTCACATGTATAAAATTGTACAACAGTTTTAAATCAGGCTCCTATCTTTTTCACTATGTCACTGAGAAAGTTTTTGAGGTTTGTGCTCCTAACTCCATTTTCTGCATAAGCCCTGTGTGGTTTTTATTGCATGATTTTGCACAGCACAGCAATTTTTAGGAATGTATATATTGCATTATAGCAGGAATAATTTATGTTCAAATAATAATTTTAAAAAGTAAGTTGCAGATTGTTATACATAGTACTATCCTCCTTTTTGTTAAAAAATGTATTTCAGCCAGGCTTGGTGGCTCACACCTATAATCCAAACATTTTGTGAGGCAAAGGTGGGAGGATCACTTGAGCCTAAAAGTTTGAGACCAGCCTAAGCAACATAAGGAAATCCCATCTCTACAAAACATTCTTAAAAAATTAGCCAGGCATGGTGGCGCATGCTTGCAGTCCCAGCTACTCAGAAGACTAAGGCAGGAGGATCACTTGAGCCCAGGAAATAGAGGCTCCAGTGGGCCGTGACCATGCCACCGCACCCCAGCCTGGGAAACAGAGGGAGATCCTATCTCTCAAAAAAAAATTTTATAATGCATTTCATGTTTTTACAGGTATGTGCATACACGTATACACTTATAAATGCTTAGAAAAAGGTCTGGAAGGACATCAATCAGTTAATAGTGATGTCTCCGAAGGAAAGAATACAAGTGACTGCCACTTTATATATACTTTTTTTTTTTTTTTTGAGACAAAGTCTCCCTCTGTCGCCCAGGCTGGAGTGCAATGGTGCAATCTTGGCTCACTGCAACCTCCGCCTCCCGGGTTCAAGCGATTCTCTTGCCTCAGCCTCCCGAGTAGCTGGGATTACAGGCAGACACCACTATGCCCAGGTAACTTTTTTGTATTTTTAGTACAGATGGGGTTTCACCATGTTGGCCAGGCTGGTCTCAAACTCCTGACCTCAGGTGATTGGCCCGCTTCGGCCTCCCAAAGTGCTGGCATTACAAGCGTGAGCCACCGTACCCAGCCTAAACTATATATACATTACTGTTTAATGTTGAGACAATGAATTGTTATTAGTTATGCAACTTGAAAAGTTCCTTTTAAAACAAAATAAATTTGTTCCAGTACTGGAAGTATTGGAACGAGTGATCATTATAGAAATCCAATTATATCATCCCTCTGCTTAAAATCCTTAGTACCTAAATGACTAATGTTTGACGTGACAGACATTCTAAATACCGATTTGATCATTACACATTCTGTGCACGTATAAAAATATCACATGTAGCCCATAAATATGTACAATTATTATATATCAATTTTTAAACATGACCAACACAACTCCAAAAAAATTAAAAGCCCTCAATACCTGACAGCCAAACTTCAAAATATTTATGAAGGACCTGGCCCCTGCTATCTTCTCTAGCCTCATCCCTCGCTGCCCTTCCCCTCATTCGCGTATCAACTAAGATTTATTTAGAATCTTCCATATGCAGACACTGGGGACAAAGAAGTGAACACACTAGATATGACTCTACTCTCACAGGGCCTTCAATCTAGCAAGGGAAAGATCTGCACAAAACTACACTTAAAAGCACTTAAACCAGAAATGTGGTTATTACAAAGGCGAAATGGCCAGTCTCAGGGATCAGGAAACGCTTCCTTGAAAACGTGACATTTAGGCTGAGACCTGAAGGGTAAGAAAGAAAGTGACTGATAAAGGCAGAAATACCAGTGAGAGGTAAGAGCGGTGCGGGCAGAGAGATGAACAACAGCCAGGAGCCAGAAAAGAGCTTGGATCCTTCAAGGAAGAAGCCAGTGTGGCTGGAATACAGTAACAAAGGAAGAAAAGTATGAAAAGTGTAAGATTTGAAGTAGCAGGAGCCAGATCATGAGGAGCCTAGTGGACTATGTCGAGGATTTTAGACCTGATTGTAAGAGCACACAGAAATAACTAAACACTTTCAAGAAGGCAGTGGCATGATCAGAAATGGATATTTGGAAGTTCATTCATTTGGGTTACTGTCTAAAATGAAAGGCCAGAAGAGGACCAGGAATAAATCTGAAAAGACCATTATGAACTTCTTTCCATAGTATATGGATTACTGAAATGGTGATAGCTTGAACTACGATGGCAGCAATGAGAAAGGAGAGAAGTGGATGGCTTCAAGTTACGATTAGGAGGTGGACTCAACAGTATCCACCTCCTAATACCAGGTGGTACTGACTGGATGTGGGGACAGAGGAAAGGAACATGTCAAGCACGACTCCAGTCGCTCACAGGAGAACTTCTCACACTCTAGACTCCAGCCATACTGAACTACTCGCAGTTCCTGAAGCCTCCATGCCTCATCCACATTTTCATGCCTCCAAGTAGAAATGCCTTTACGACATCTTTAAGCTGCAAAATGCGGCCTCGCCCCAGCCTTCCCTAACCATGACTGGATTAGGTGTTCCAACTGCATGCTCCCACGGCCTCTCATGCTTGCCTTTATCACAGTACTTACCACACGGAACTATAATGACACACCTATGTCTTCCTCACGTGACCAAGTGCTCTTTGAGGTTAAAAATCATTTTTGGTTATTTTAATTTCTCTATCCTCAATGCTTACTTCTTATCAATGTGTGTGTTCCAAGGAACAGAGAAAGCAAGCTAAGCTCTTGGGACCTACTGTGAGAGAAAAAAAAGAATATAGGAAGCTAACTTGGGCCTAAGAAAGCAGGTAAAAATGGCAGTGTGGTTTCCTGGATAGATAAATGAAAAGTTATGAAACTGCAGATTTCTTTTTCTTTTTTTTTTGAGACAAAGTCTGGCTTCTTTGCCCAGGCTGGAGTGCAGTGGCACGATCTCGGCTCACTGCAACCTCCGCCTCCCGGGTTCAAGCAACTCTCCTGCCTCAGCCTCCCGAGTAGCTGGGATTACAGGAGTGCGCTGCCACGCCCAGCTAATTTTTTTGCATTTTTAGTAGAGACAGGGTTTCACCATGTTGGCCAGGCTGGTCTCGAACTCCTGACCTTGTGATCTGCTCGCCTCGGCCTCCTAAAGTGCTGGGATTACAGGCGTAAGCCACCGCGTCAGGCCAGAAACTGCAGATTTCTTCGAGGGCTGGTAGCCTAAAATGAAAAGCTCAAACTCAAAGATTTAAATTTAAAGAAAATTAAGGGTAATAGTTACCCAAGGATGATGTACAAACTAAAAATATATAGTTTCATCAATAGTTTAGAAAACAAATTACCACGTTGTAGTCTACCTACAAGAATTTAAAGTTTTTACCAAAAATATATTCATCTATTATTTGTATAATTAGAAATAAAATGGGACAGACATGATACACCTCATGCCTGTAATCCCAGATCTTTGGGAGGCCACGGGAGGACTGCTTGAGGCCAGGAGTTTGAGACCAGCCTGCGCAACAGGGCAAGTCTCCATCGCTACAAAAAATTAGCTGGGTGTGGTGGCATGTGCCTGTAGTCCTAGCAACTCAGGAGGCTGAGGCAGGAAAATCACTGGAACTCAGGATTTCGATCGCATCACTGCACTCTGGCCTGAGCAACAGAGACCGACCCTGTTTTTGATTGTATTCATTTATTTTTTGGAAGGCAGAGTCTCACTCATCACTCAGGCTGCAGTGCAGTGGTGCAGCCTTGACGCTCTTGGGCTCATTCTTGACTTTTTTGAGACAGGGTCTTGCTCTGGCACCTACGCTGGATCATAGCTCATGACATCCTTGAACTCCTGGACTCAAGCAATCCTCCTGCCTCAGACTCCTGAGTAGCTAGAACTAGAGGCCCGCATCACCATGCCCAGCCAATTTTGAAAATTTTTTTACAGAGACAGAAGCCTCGTTTTGTTGACCAGGCTGGTACTGAATTCCTAGGCTCCAGCGAACCTCCTGCCTTGGCCTCCCAAAGTGCTGGGATTACAGATGGGAGCCACCACACCAGACCTTGACTCTTTCTTCTCCCTGAGCTCCCCACGTTCAACCAAGTCTTTTGGATTCTACTGTAATAATATGACTTGTGTCTGTTCACTTCTTCCCACCTCCAAAGCCATTTCTTGGTTCAAGTCTTTTTCATATCTCACTTGGAACTACCGCAGCACCCTCCTTGTCTCCTATTTCTAGTCTTACTCTTCTCCAAACATTTTACAAAGCGGCCAGGGTTTATTTCTGAAGAGCAGATGTTATTCCCCTATTTAAAGCATCCAATAGCTTCCTACTATTTTCAGGATAAAGGTCAAATAATTTATCATATGACCCTTCAACATCTAGCCCCAGCTTACACCACCCACTGGGTGAATTTTACCCTTAAGGCGCAACGAACCAGCCACTGCAGTTTTCCACCTACCGTGCTCTCTCTCCCCCAGCCAGCCTCAGCCCTTTGCATATGCTATTTCCTTTGCCTGGGAATCACTTTACCACCTCCCTTTCCTTCTCAAGCTAACTCCTACTTGTTCTTTATACTTCAATTGACCAATGGCTGCTTTGGTCCCATGGCTATGTGCTCTCATATACTGGGTGTGCACCCCAAAAACAGAAGTAATTACAATGTTAAGTCTCTTGCGTCCTCCACTAGAATGCACTGAGACAGCAAGAGATCTTGTTCACTGTTATCTTTAGTGACTGGCACACTGTCGATAATTACTTACTGAGTCAATGAAGAGGAGAAATCTTCTAAACAAGCCTGTGATTTTTCTACTGTCATTTCTCCTGGCTTAAAGGAAAAAGTCCCCGCCCAAGAGTTATAAGAGGATATCCCATAGAAAGCCCATCACAAATCAGACTAACTAACCTATCCATGCTACTTTAGTTCATTCTCGGAATATAAGGTCAACCAAGAGGAAAAGATAAGTACAAAATCCCACATAGAATCCTAAAGCATCATGTTGATGACGCTGAACAAAAAGCAGCAAAAAAAAAAAAAAAAAAAAAAAAATTCTAATCCTACTTTTACTAAATTCTGCAGTGACACATAGTGGTGAGAGAGGGAAGTACATAATAAAGATAAAGGAAGCGTACATGAGAAGGGAAAAGACCATCAGGGAGCCTCAAGTGGTTTGTCTTCCTTGCAATCAGTGGGAAGTATCTGTGCCTCACAGCTGTATGAACCAGGGCACCCAGGCTTACTGAGCTAGTTTGGCTCATTGCATCATTCTCAGGAACTTACATCACTGGGACTCAGGCTGCCCAGCCCATTCTCTTGCTCAGAATCCTTCCCAGACTCAGTGCCCTGGGAAGACCGTGGATGGGATGGATGAATCCAGATCTCCAGGCGAGTGGTGTCATCTCCAACATGCCGGAAAGTAGACTTCTTTCCTTTCCGCCACTGGTCAGGGCTCAGGTCAAATTCCTCATGTTGCTTCTTTTCCATCTGTTCTGCCTATATAACATACAAACACATTAGCTCATGGCCTGGTGTGGTGGCTCACGCCTGTAATCCCAGCACTTAGAGATGCGGAGGCAGGCGGATCACTTGAGGTCAGGAGTTTGAGACCAGCCTGACCAACATAGTGAAACCCTGTCTCTACTAAAAATACAAAATTAGCTGGGTGTGGTGGCGCATATCTGTAATCCTAGCTACTCGGGAGGCTGAGGCATGAGAATCACTTAAATCCGGGAGGCAGAGGTTGCAGTGAGCCAAGATCGCATCACTGCACTCCAGTCTGGGCAACAAGAGCGAAACTCTGTCTCAAAAACAAAAAACACACATGAGCTCAGACTTTCCTGAGACTCAGCTTACAAAGAGAAAAGCCTCACCTCACCGGTATTTATTTGACAATAAAAATACTGTACCACAGTCCCAAAGTAGCAGAGTGTCATCTGCTTTGTTTCATATAGTTATTAATTCTGTAGACTGAAGGCTGTAGAGCACGTACATGTACATCCAAGGGCCCCTGAAAGCTCTCCTGAAGATCACAGTTTTGTTCTGCACAGGGGCTGACCAACTACCCACCAGCACAGTCTGATGGGACCATTTAAGGACACTATGAGTCATTCCCCGAGGACACACAGACACTGAGCAATAACTGCACCTTGGATAAACCTCACTGGCTACGATCCTGCCGGTGCGCAGAGCTAGGGCACACCAACACTCAGGGAAATGCACTATTCGAGGAAGGAAGGGTTCTGCCACATCCCCACTCACCTTCCGCTTGGTCTCTTCAAACAAGCTCATGAGACTCTCCTTGGCAGTCAGGATAGGGTTGCTGGCAGCTAAACTGCGCATATAGTAATAGACAGCGTCAAGCTTCCTCCTCTGTGGAAAGAGGCCAGAGACATTCAGTCAACCAATTCTCGTCCTAACTCCAGCAAGAGGCAGCTGACTCAGGAAACCCTACTATCTCTCCCAGCCTGTCTCCCAAACTGAGAGGAATCCCAACAACAAAATCAGAAATGCTATCCACAGGAGAAGCCATTGCAATTACATCACAGATCTCTTCTTGCACAGTATTATATCTTACATGCAGAGGTGCTCCAAGAACCAAGTACTCATAAGGAGAGAAAGGAATAAACAGGCTCTTAAAATATAAACAGAAATTACATCTTGTTCTTAGAAAAAGCATGATGTTCAATTCACTTTATATTTCCTGTTCTTATCAGAGAGTCAGTATGCTATAATGAAATCACGAAATTACAAGCCAGACAGACCTTGGTCCAAATACTGGCTAATCCAGGAGTTGACTCGGAAACTTTGGACAAAAGACTCCAAGATTATTACATTATTATGTAATAATCTTCCTGAGTTCCTATATCCTCAACATTACAATGGGAGTAATAATACCCAATGGAGGAGTATCCTCAGGTTTACAAAGTGTTGTCCACTGTCTCACACTTAACTGTACTTAATCAATGATGTTGCCATTGTTATTGATAATTTTTTAAAATAAATAAGTAGCTGAGTTGAACATTTTATGGATATTATTCAAGAAATTCAGCAAGTCTATTTATAAGCAATTAATAGGGAAAAGAAGAAGTAAAGAAAAAGGAAGTGGGTCAGAAAGAAGGAAAAAGGAAAACATTGAAACAAAGGCAGAAAGAATATCCAAAAGGCTTTCTCACTTTTTCTCCAACTTCATGTACATTTTCAATGTTTTCCATAACTGTTTCAAAATACATTTAAAATGCTAGCTTCTCTCTCTCCCCAGCGTCTACCCATTCTTCAAAACTCCTATCTTATATTCACCTGGCATGGCTAGAGGTGCAGGTTCTAAGGTCAGTGCCTGAGTCTGAATTCGGTCTTGCATTTATTAGGTATGACACAGCACGTTAACCTAGAGAGGTTTCCTTATTTGCAAAATGGAAATGTTTACAACATATGGCTCCCAAAAAGATTAAAATTATATAATGCATATAGTTTAACAGAATATTTGGCACACCATTACAGTTACTTGGTAGCTATTTTTATTATTATTCCAATCCATACTAATTTCTATCTACACTACTCACCTGATTTGAGACTGTATTATATTAATTCTATAAAATATTTTTTCATATGAAAAAATTTCCAAAACAGAGATACAACTTACAATCGGTATCTATTGTTATGTCTTATTTTAATTTGCAGCATTTTTCTTAGTGGAACAGAAGATAATGGTGCATCTAACAATCAATTACATATTTATCAAGTCTAATTTGCATCACTGTCTATACAGCTCACTTGTTTTCTCAACACATTTTTTTTTTCAGGGAAGAAAGCAAGTCAATATTTTATCATTCCTGGCACCTAGAAAAGCACTACTGTACACGTGTTGTGTTCTCAATAAATACCTGAGATTCACTGATTGGAAGAGACAGAATGACTGACTGATTGGAATTGGCAGAAAAGTTGGGAAAATGTTGCTAACAGACAACTAAGATGAGACAGACAGAAAAAAGAGGGATAGAGGAAAAGAACTTGAAGAAAGTGCGAATCTAGGTCAGAGGTCTGTGAAAAAGAAAATTTAATTCAAATGACAAAAAGCCATTGAGGGAATTCAGCACAGTTGCAACATACAAGATCAACACACGAAATTCAGTTACATTTCTATATACTAGCAATGAGCAATCTGAAAAAAAAGAAATTAAGAAAACAATTTCTGGCTAGGCCCAATGGCTCAGGCTTATAATCCCAGCACTTTAGGAGGCAGAGGGAGGAGGCTCACTTGAAGCCAGGAGTTCAGGACCAGCCTTGGCAACGCAGTGAGACCCTCTTTTCTTTTTTTTTTTCTTTTTTGAGACGAAGTCTCGCTCTGTCATCCAGGCTGGAGTGCAGTGGCATGATCTCAGCTCACTGCAAACTCCACCTCCCGGATTTGAGCAATTCTCCCGCCTCAGCCTCCCGAGTAGCTGGGACTACAGGTGTGTGCTGCCACACCTGGCTAATTTTTATATTTTTAGTAGAGATGGGGTTTCACCAAGTTAGCCAGGCTGGTCTGGAACTCATGACCTCAAGTGATCCGCCTGCCTCAGCCTCCCAAAGTGCTGGGATTACAGGGGTCAGACACCCCACCTGGCCAAGACCCTGTCTAAAAAAATAGAGAGAAAGACAGAGAAAAAAAAGAAAACAATTCCTTTTGCAAAAGCATCAAAAAGAATGACATACTTAGGAATACATTTAACCAAGGAAGTGCAAAACTTATTATACACAGGGTTAAAAGAAATTAAAGAACGAAGTAAATGAAAAGACACCCTGTGTTCATGAATTAGAAGGCTTAATATTTTGAAGATGGCAATACTTCCCAAAGCAATCTACAGATTCAGTGCAACCTTATCAAAATTCCAATGATTTTGCAAAAATGAAAAAGCTGACCCTAAAATCCATACATAATTACAAGGGACCTCAAATGGCCAAAAAAAAAAAAAAAAAACGAAGTTAGGGGACTCACATTTCCCAATTTTTCTTACCACAAACCTACAGTAACTAACACAGCTGTGGTACTGGCATGAGGACTGACATATAAATCAATGGAAGAAAACTGAGAGCTCAGAAAAAACCCACATATAAAGTGACTTTTTACAAGGGAACCAAGACCATTCAATGAAGAAAGAGCAGTCTCTTCAACAAATGGTGCTGAGAGAATGTAATAACCACATGTAAAAGAATGAAGTTGGACCTTTACCTCATACTATATATAAAAATTCACCTAAAATTAATCAAAGGCCTAAATATAAGAGGTAAAAGTCTAAAACTCTAAGAAGAAAACGTAGAGGTAAATTTTCCAAACCTTGGATTTGGTAATGGTTTCATAGCTATGACATCGAAAGTGAAAGGAACAAAAGAAAAAAAGATAAACTGGACTTCAGCAAAATTAAAAAACACTTGTGCATCGAAAGATATTCTCAGCAGAATGAAAAGACAATCCACAAAATGGAAGAAAATGTTTGCAAATTATGTATCTAATAAAGGTCTAGCATCCAGAATATATAAAGAACTCATACATCTTGACAACACAAAACATAAAATAATTTTTTTTTTTTTTTTTTTTTTTTTTGAGACAGAGTCTCGCTCTGTCGCTCAGGCTGGAGTGCAGTGGCGTGATCTTGGCTCACTGCAAGCTCCGCCTCTCGGGTTCACGCCATTCTCCTGCCTCAGCCTTCCCAGTAGCTGGGACTACAGGCGCCTGCCACTGCGCCTGGCTAATTTTTTGTATTTTTAGTAGAGACGGGGTTTCATCGTGGTCTCAATCTCTTGACCTCGTGATCCGCCCGCCTCGGCCTCCCAAAGTGCTGGGATTACAGGCGTGAGCCACTGGGCCCGGCTAAAATAACAATTTTTAAATGGACAAAGGACTTGAATAGACATTTCTCCAAAGATGATATGCAAATGACCAATGTGCATATGAAAAAATGCTCATCATTAGGGAAACATAAATTAAAACCATAATGTGATATCACCTCACCACCACTACGATGGCTACTATCAGAAATGCAGAAAATAACAAGTGTTGGCAAGGAAGTGGAGAAATCAGAAGCCTTGCATGCTGTTGGTTGGAATGTAAAATGGTGTAGCTGCTATGGAAAACAATATGGTTGTTCTAAAAACCTAAAATCAGAATTACCAAATGATCTAGTAATTCGTTTTCTGGGTATGTACCCAGAAGAATTGGAAGCAGGGTCTTGAAGAGATTTTATTTGAACACCCATGTTCACTGTGGCATTATTCACAATAGCCAACAGATGGAAGCAATCCAAGTATCCATCAATGGGTGAACGTACATATAAAATGTGGTATATATACACAATGAAATGTAATTCACCCTCCAAAAGGAGGAAATTCTGACACATGCTACAACATGGATGAACCTTGAGGACCTAAGCTAAGTGAAATAAGCCAGTCACAAGAGGACAAATACTGTATAATTCCACTTATATGAGGTACCTAGAGTAGCCAAATTCATAGTGACAGAAAGCAGAAGGTTAGTTGCAGAGGTTGTGGGAAGAGAGAAGTGGGAGCTGTTATTTAATAGATATGGAGTTCCAGTTTTGTAAAATGAAAAGCATTCTGGAGGTTCGTTACACTACAATATGAATGTACGTAATGCTACTGAAGCTACACTTAAAAATGGGTAAGACAGGCAGGGCATGGTGGCTCACGCCTGTAATCCCAGCACTTTCGGAGGCCAAGGTGGGTGGATCACCTGAAGTCTGGAGTTCGAGACCAGCCTGGCCAACATGGTGAAACCCCATCTGCATTAAAAATACAAAAATTAGCCAGGCGTGGTGGTATAAGCCTGTGGTCCCAGCTACTCAGGAAGCTGAGAAAGGAGAATCACTTGAACCCGGGAGGTGGAGGTTACAGTGAGCCAAGATCGTGCCACTGCACTCCAGCCTGGGCCACAGAGCGAGACTCCATCACAAAAAAAAGAAAAAGAGCAAGACAGCCCGGGAGTGGTGGCTCATGCCTGTAATCCCAGCACTTTGGGAGGCTGAGGCAGGTGGCTAGCTTGAAGTCAGGAGTTCAAGACCAGCCTGAGCAACATAGTGAAACCAAATCTCTACTAAAAATACAAAAAATTTAGCCAAGTGGGGTGGCATGCGCCTGTGGTCCCAGCTACTTGGGAGGCTGGGGTAGGAGGATCACTTGAGCCTGGGAGGCAGAGGTTGCAGTGAGCCAAGATTAGGCCACTGCACTCCAGCCTGGGTGACAGAGACCTTCTCTCAATTAAAAAAAAAAAAAAAGTGGGTAAGATAGGCAGGGCTGGTGGCTCACACCTGTATCCTAGCACTTTGAGAGGCTGAGGTGGGCAGATCACTTAGGAGCTCAGGAGTTCAAGACCAGCCTGGATAACATGGCGAAATCCCGTCTCTACAAAAAATACAAAAATTAGCCAGGCGTGAGCAGCCAGGCGCGGTGGCTCACGCCTGTAATCCCAGCACTTTGGGAGGCTGAGGTGGGCGGATCACGAGGTCAGGAGATTGAGACCATCCTGGCTAACACAGTGAAACCCCGTCTCTACTAAAAATACAAAAAATTAGCCGGGTGTGGTGGAGGGCGCCTGTAGTCCCAGCTACTCGGGAGGCTGAGGCAGGAGAATGGCGTGAACCCGGGAGGTGGAGCTCGCAGTGAGCCGAGATTGCGCCACTGCACTCCAGCCTGGGCAACAGAGCAAGACTCTGTCTCAAAAAAAAAAAAAAAAAAAAAATTAGCCAGCTGTGGTGGCGGGCACCTGTAGTTGCATCTATTTGGGGGGCTGAGGCAGAAGAATAGCTTGAACCTGGGAGGTTGAGGCTGCAGTGAGCTGAGGTCATGCCACTGTATTCCAGCCTGGGTGACAAAGTGAGACCCTGCCTCAAAAAAAGAAAAAAAAAATTAAGTGACTGGGAGCAGTGACTCATGCCTGTAATCTCAGCAGTTTGGGAGGCCAACGCAAGAGGATCACTTGAGGCCAGGAGTTCCAAGACCTGCCTGGGCAACGGAGTGAGATCCTGTCTATACAAAAAATCAAAATATTACCTGGGTATGATGGTGAGTGCCTGTAGTCCCAGCTAATCAGGAGGCTAAGGCAGGAGGATCACTTGAGCCCAGGAGGTCGAGACTGCAGTGAGCTATGATTGTGTCACTGCACTCCAGCCTAGGTGACAGAGTGCGATCCTATCTCTTAAATATATATACACACATATATATGTGGGTAAGAGGATAAATTCTATGAGTATTTTACAATTAAAATTTTAAAACTGCCAGGTGCGGTGGCTCACGCATATAATCCCAGTGTGAGGCTGAGGTAGGTGGATCACTTGAGGTCACAAGTTCAAGACCAGCCTGGCCAACATGGTGAAACCCCATCTCTACTAAAAATACAAAAAAATTAGCAGGGGCTGGTGGTGTGCACCTGTAATCCCAGCTACCCTGGAGGCTGAGGCAGGAGAATAGCTTGAACCCAGGAGGCGGAGGTTACAGTAAGCCGAGACTACTGCAGCGCTGCACTCCGGCCTGCGCAACAAAGCGAGGCTCCATCTCAAAAAAAAATAATTATTATTTTATACATATATATATATATATATATATATGTAATTAAAATTTTTCTCAATGAGCAATGAAATAGATATTTCTCCCAATAGCAAATCAGCACATGAAAAGATGCACATCATTAGTTGCTAGGAGAATCCAATAAAAAACCACAATGAGTTATCACTTAATACTCACTAGGTTTGTGGATACCAACAAAGTGATTCTAAAGTTTACATGGGAAGGCAAAAGATCCAGAATAGCCAATACAATACTGAAAAACAAAGGTGGAAGACTGACACTACTGAACTTCAAGACATAAATAAAGTTACAGGAACCAAGACAGTGTGGTACTGACCAAAGAACAGAGAAATAGATGAACAGAGAGGCCAGAAATAAACTTATGCAAATATAGTCAGCTGGTCTTTGACAAAGGAGCAAAGGCAATTCGATGGTAAAAGGACAGTCATTTCAACAAATGGTGCTAGAACAACTGTATATCCACCTGCATCAATAAATCTATACACGAGCCTTACACTTTTCACAAAAATTAACTCAAAATGTATTACAGACTTAAATGTAAAACATAAAACTATACAACTGCTAGAAAATAACACAACATTAAGCTAGCCGTGGGTGTGAAGACAACTTCTTAAATAAAACACCAGAAGCATAACCCATGAAAGAAATAACTGGTAAGATGGATTTCACTAAAATTTAAAACTTCTGCTCTGCAAAAGACACTGCTGAAGAATGTGAAGACAAGCCACAGTCTGGAAGAAAATAGATGCAAATCACACACCTGATAAAGGACTTGTAACCAAAATATATAAAGAACTCTTAAATAAGGGAAAAAACTCAATTTTAAAAATGGGCAAAAAAGTAGTGGGGGGGCCAAAAGATCTGAACACCTCACTGAATAAGATATGTAGATGGCAAGCATATGAAAAGACGCTCAACATCGTGTGTCATTAGAGAACTGCAAAAAGTCATACATTATATGATCCCATTTATGTGAGACATCCAGAACAGGTAAAGATACAGAGACAGAAATCAGACTAGTGGTTGTCAGGGGCTGAGGGGAGGCAGGGATGGAAAGCGTAAGTATCAGGTCTCCTTTGGGGTGATGAAAATGTTCTGACACATGGCCAGGTGCGGTGGCTCACGCCTGTAATCCCAGCACTTTGGGAGGCCGAGGCGGGCGGATCACGAGGTCAGGAGGTCGAGACCATCCTGGCTAACACAATGAAACCCCGTCTCTACTAAAAATATAAAAAACTAGCCGGGCGTGGTGGCGGGCGCCTGTAGTCCCAGCTACTCGGGAGGCTGAGGCAGGAGAATGGCGTGAACCCGGGAGGCGGAGCTTGCCGTGAGCCGAGATCGCGCCACTGCACTCCAGCCTGAGCGACAGAGCGAGACTCCGTCTCAGAAAAAAAAAAAAAGGAAAATGTTCTGACACTAGATAAAGGTGATGGTTAATTGTACTTTCTAATTAACAGTTCATTCAACGATTACAAAGAAGGAATCAGGAAAAGACGGATATAGAGAAAAAGGGAAGAAAAAATAGTGCTGCAAAGAGGGCGGGAAAAAAAATCCCATAAACCCATCACGGAGAATGAGACAGAGGCAAAAACCGGAGAGAGATCAACCAATTCTGAAAGAAGTGTTTCAGTAAACCACATTACTTAATCAACTATTTCAATCCATAATTATTAAGAATTTTCTTGGGAGGCTGAGGCTGGAGGATCACTTCGGCCCAGGTGTTTTGAGGCCAGCCTGGGCAACAAAGCAATACCCCGTCTCTACAGAAAAATACTTGTCATCCGGGTGCAGCAGTGTGTGCCTGCAGTCCCAGTTACTTGGGAGGCTGAGGCAGGAGGATCACCTAAGCCAGTAGTTTGCGTCACTGCACTCCAGCCTGGGTGACAGAGCAAGACCCTGCCTCTCTTAAAAAAAAAAAAAAAAAAAGAGAGAGACAATTTTCTCCTTGCTAATGAGCATCTTATTTGTTTCTTACGATGGAACCTCTGGTACCTACCACTGGTCCCCACTTTCCCCCTTGAATTGAGCTTTCTCCCTAGGAGCTGTCTCAGCTCCCAAGGCCCGCTTCTCCATTACAGACATATTTAGAGCACAGTGATTAGACCTAGGGAGGTACAACCTGCTGCTTACTGTGCTTCTGCTAAGGAGGCACCTCAGATAAAAAGTTAAAAGAAGTAACAGGGTCTAGGGAAAGGAAGCAAAGATCTGACTACTTAGAGGTAGGTGAAAACTTTAAGGGAGAGAAGTAAGCCTTATTTTTCGTCTAGAATGAGTTGCCTAGTTCAACAGAAAGGGAAGAGAATCAAGACAAAATTCAGAGTGGCAGCTCTGGTCAGAAACAAAGAATGGTGTTTAGCTGGAGCATGAGCATTCCCTCAGGAATTTGAGTGCAGTGGTAAGTGGAGAGATGAAGTACAGAGTTAAGTGAAGTGAGGAATCCCTGACAACTTAATTCTGAGAGTAACCGTAACAAAAGGAGTTTGAGGGGATATTCTTTGGGCTACAGTGATGAGATGAAATGAAGCTCCAGGAACTGATATTATCAAACTCCATATTGTAAGATACTTCCTGCAAAGCACTTTTCCCCTGTCCACAGGATTTCTTACCGTATACACTGCCAGCAAAGCCAACTGGTTATAGGGGCGCCCATTCTTGGGAGCAATGTGCTGGGCCTTCAGGTACCAACTAGAACAGAAAAAACAGTAAGAAAATGCTAGTTCCAGATTAGCTTTTTCCCAATTCATCCTGATAGCCCTAATACTTAAAACATAAGGTAGAGTGTTAGATGTAACCCTGGAGGGGTAAGGCATGACTACAGGGACCAATAGGGACACCTGTACAACACCCACATGGCCTACTGCTCTTAGTAAGGCTTAGCTTAGAGCCACATAGGGAAGAGAAATAACGAAGCAGAGGTAAAAGTACCTGCGTGCTTTCCCATAATTCGCTGTATCACTGGCTTGCTCCCGGTACCTAGCAATATCTCCTTGGCATATCATGCATCGCTGGGCACTGATCAAGGCATATTTTACCTTCAGGAAAAACAACCAGTTAGTAGAAAAGCCAAGAAACACTAACTTCAACCCTCAAAGGACAGGGATGGGGTGAAAATGACAATGTAGCACTCGTAAGGCACTAGCGGTCCTCAACAAAGTATAAAGTTTTTAGCCTAAACCTGACTACCAAAAAAACACAACAAACTATAAAGTTTTCAGCCTAAACCTGACTACCAAAAAAACAGTCAGCAGTGTGATACAAAATTTAGTGAGAAAGAGAGAGGGTGATTCTTGAGTCCCAGGCAAATGAAAGAAAATATTTTGATATTAGTAGTCAGGAGATCTGACTCTACGGAATAGTGTTGGATCTCAAGGAAGTCTTTGAGATGCTCTGGGACTCAGTTTCTTCACCTGAATGTAAAAGTAACTACTCTATAGGGTAACTGGAGGAAATAAATGTAAAAATATTTTATAAACTATAAAGAGACAAACAAATATGAAAACAATTGTTTACTCTATTCTTTTTTTTCCCCCCTAATAATTTCTGAGACAGCGTCTCACTCTGTTGCCCAGGCTGGAGTGTAGTGGCGTGATCTCAGCTCACTGCAACCTCCACCTCCTGAGCTCAAGTGATTCTCGTGCCTCAGCCTCCTGAGTAACTGGGATGATAGGCATGCGCCACCATGCCTGGCTAATTTTTTTATTTTTAATAGAGACAGGGTTTCGCCATGTTGCCCAGGCTGGTCTCAAACTCCTGGCCTCAAGTGATCCATGTGCCTGCCTCAGCATCCCAAAGTGCTGGGATTACAGGCGTGAGCCATCACGCCCACCCACTTTTTTTGCCATCATTATAGTCTTTCTTCAAACTGTTAACATCACTGAATTGTACCACGGCATTACATTACCTTCACCTAAAACAATGGATCGTCCTTTATCACACATTAACAACGTGCCACACACTGTGCAGGACTATGTGTTTTCTCACTGATTGGCTTGGCATCTGTCACTCAGAAAACAGAGTAAACCAATCCCAAGGCATGTGCCCCCCAAAATATCTCCCTAGGGAACACCACCTCACAGCACACAATATAATTCCACTCCACTCCACACAAAAGAAATTAACATATCACTGAATAAAGAACAAAGCTTCATTGAGAAGAAGATACTGACCCCTCAGGAAGGCACACTCACTAAGCGAAATAGCTACTGCACATTAACCTCCTACCTAGCACATAACTCAAATTTGTACCTCAGCAAAGTTATAATGACTACATATCACATACCCCAAGTCCTAACTGTTCCACAGATTCTATGAATGAACATCCCCAAAGGTGTTAAGAATCCTCTGTATTTAACTGATAAAGCACAAAGAGAACTGATTATGCCTCCATACTACATCCACTTTGTCATGTTGGTAAGAGACAAAAACAAAACAAAACAAAACAAATTCTTTCAAAGGCTCTCCGTCAGCCTCAGCATGAAGTCCTGGACGATTGAGCCTCTGCTTACCTCATCAGCACCATATTCCCGGTCACTTTCTGTACCTCAGTCAGACCAGACTCCAAAGTTCCCCTAACACACCACGGTGTTCTCCACTTCAGGGCCTTTAAGTATATTGTCCTCTTCCCCTAAAATGTTCCTCTCCTTGCATCTACACATACACCTTCACCTGGCTGAAGCTTTCGGCCTTCAGCGTTAGTTTAACTATGATTTTCTCAGTCTCACAGGATTCTTTAAAACTAGGTTAACCCTTTACAGTATACACCCCCAACATCCTTGGCAAAAGTCACTCCATCAGCAATTACTCATCCAAAGTCTGTACTCACCAGCAATCAAACACTAAACTCCAAGAAACAGGAGCACGGTTTTTTTTCAATCTGCACTGAATTGCCTCTGCCTAAAATACCACCAAGCATGTAAGAGGAACTCAATAAACACTTTTTTTTTTTTTTGAGATAGAGTCTCACTTTGTTGCCCAGGCTAGAGTGCAATAACGCAGTCTTAGCTCACTGCAACCACTGCCTTCTGGTTTTTAAGCGATTCTCCTGTCTCAGCCTCCTGAGTAGCTGGGATTACAGGCATGCACCACCACACCCAGCTAATTTTTGTATTTTTAGTAGAGAGGGGGTTTCGCCATGTTGGGCCAGGCTGGTCTCAAACTCCTGACCTCAGGTGATCTGCCTGCCTTGGCCTCCCAAAGGGCTGGGATTAAAGAGTGAGCCACTGCGCCCAGCCAAAAACATCTGTCCATCAGTAAGAAAGTGTGTATGTAGTAGAAGGAGCAAAAAGGCAAGAGGAAGCCTCTGCTCCATAAATCACGCTGCTCTCCCTAATGCATCTCTAACTGCTTCCTAAATATGCTCAACTTTCCAATCTTAAAACAAAAACTGGCCAGGCGTGGTACAGACAAAAAAAACGAAAAACAAAGAACAAAAAACCTTCTCTTAGAACCCTATGTTCTTTTAGCTGTCTTCCCTCCTTGTCTTCGCAGCCAAGATGCTTAAAAGAATGGTCTATATTACTCTCTGGCAATCTCTACTGCTTTATCTCTCTTCACTACAATCCGGCTTCCAGTTTCCCCAACTAAATTAACTCTTGATAAGTTCATCCAATCCAACGGACACTTTTTAGTAATCTTAACATTTGACAGCTCCATTGCACTTGACAATTTTACCTACCCCCACCTTGAAATGTAACCCCCGTTTCTGGCCAGCCTTCCCAGTACCCCAACTTTTGCTTCAACCACCACCTGTATCATGATGACTCATGAATCTATATCACCAGCCCAGCTTTCTCCTGACCTCCAGAGAGACCACAATATTCACTTGTTCACTTTCAAGTTCCTGTAACACACACACCTCCACATCAGCATATCCAAACCTGAACCAATCTCTTTCCTTTGCAGCCACTCCCCTGGACTACCAGCTGGGAGATGATTCAGACTCTTCATGCCTCCAATCTCATCCCTCACACCAAATCAGTCAACAATTCCATTCTATTTCCTTTCTTTCTTTCCAATCTGTCTTCTCTTTCCCATCTCCACGACCTCTATCTTAGTTCAGACCTACAACCTGACTCCTCTATCTCCACTCTTGCCCAGCTCCCATTCAAACTCACCAATTTGCCCAAGTGACTGGTTCTAAGAACAAATCTACCTTATCCATTTACTAAAAAATCAATTAATGGTTCCCCAGTGCTTTCAGAATGAAGTCCAAACTCTTCGGCATAGCATATGAGAGTTTATGACCTAGTCGCTTCCCACTTTGTTAGCTTTTCCACCTACAATAGCCCCCTCCACACTACAAACACCAGCATACTGAAGTTCTTGCACTTTCCCAACAATGCCTGGTTCTCTTTTGCTGGACCCTCTATCTAAACTGCCCCTCCCACCTTCAAACTCCTAGTCATGTTTCAAAACTCAGCTTGACAATCTCCAAGAAGCCTTCCTTGGCCCCACCAGGCTACGTTAGATTCACTTCTCCCTATGGCCCTTCAACACTCTATATCAGGGGTCCCCAGCCCCCAGGCCGCGGACTGGTACCAGTCTCTGGTCTGAGCGGTGGGCAGGCAAGCATCACCACCTGAACCCTAACTCCTGTCAGATCAGCAGCGGTATTAGTTCTCACAGGTGCGCAAACCCTATTGTGAACTAAGCATGCGAGGGACCTAGGCTATGCACTCCTCATGAGAATCTAATGCCCCAACATCTCCGTCCATGGAAAAACTGTCTTCCATGAAACTAGTCCCCGGTGCCAAAAAGGCTAGGGACTGGCCAGGCCCGGTGGCTCATGCCTGCAATCCCAGCACTTTGGGAGGCTGAGGCGGGTGGCTCACCGAAGGTCAGAAGTTCGAGACCAGCCTGGGCAACATGATGAAACCCCCGTCTCTACAAAACATAGAAAAATTAGCCAGGCTTGGTGGTGGGCACCTGTAACGCCAGCTACTCGGGAGACTGACAGAGGAGAATCCCTTAAACCTGGGAGGCAGAGGTTGAAGGTTACAGTGAGCCAAGATCAAACCACTGCACTCCAGCCTGGGTGACATGAATGAAACTCCTTCTCAAAAAATGAAAAAAAAAAAAAAAAGAAAGAAAGAAAGAAAAAAGGCTGGGGAGCACTGCTATATACCACTACCATAGTACATATGACATTACAATTGTTGGTTTAATCTATCTGTCCCTGCACTGAACTGTATCATTATTTTATCCTCAACACCCAGTACAGTGTCTAGCACATACCTAACACTAGATAAACGCTTACGAAATGAATGAAAATTTAAGATACATAAAGAAGGTAGCTTACTGTCTTGCGTAATGGCTTGCTGCGAATGGCAAGACCATCCATGTAGTCTTCCAGTTTGAACTTGTAAGTAACCTGCAGCTTCTGAAGCAAACTATCAAAGAAGTCACTACCCTATAAAAAGAAAAAAAGAAATGACTGAATCAATCTATTCTAATCCAACCTATCCACCAAAAACCGGGGCAGACAACCCTTTCACAGTTCTGCTGATGTTCAGACATCCTATGAAAAGGGAGGCACGCACAATATTCACTGGCCACCAATTTGAGAACAAGGCAAATTCACAGTCAAAGCCTCCATGGTTTTAAAGATATGAACACATGAACACACACACACACACACACACACGCTCTCTCCACACAAACACAAACACATACATACACATTCTCATTCTCTCTCTTTTAGGCCAAGGCATTCAGAAAGCTTTCAACCTCAAAACTCCAATTGCCAGTAATTTATGGTCCCAAGGAAGCAACTGGTGTAGGGAAGGCTCAGAACCCAAGAAAAGGGCAGTTTTTTTGTCGATATTCTGTTCTAAAACATAGTATTTCAGGTAGTAAAAATCCATCGTAACTACAGAATGCTGAAGCCTTTATCCTGAGGACAAAAAGATGACAGTTTACCTCATCCAAGAGCTCCAAAAGTCTGTTCCGAATCTGTTCTGGGTTCTCAACATTCGGATCCTTGACAAGTTGCCTGAACTTCTCAATCACCTGATAGAAAGCATTCTTCCACAGGATCTGATCCACATTCTGATTATCAGAGAACTCAATATCTAATAGAATACAGCGCTCATATAGCTGCAGCAGTTCAGCTCTGGAATAAAATACATGCAACTTCCAGCTCCAAATACACCACAGAAAAAGCTAGACTCAAGTTTTGAGATTCCTGCAAATTAACCACCTCCCCTGGCAGGAAATAAAAAATGTGACCAGGTAGGTATACTACTCACTCTGGTTTCCATTCTGCAGAGCAGAATGTCATTCTAAAGATAGTTGTGTCTAGGAAAATAGTTTTTCCCCATATGTCTTCACCTAAATTTAACAACTGAAATAAGATCTTCACTGCAAGTTACATGTTGTTCATTTCTTGGCATTCTAGAAAGTCTTTTTCCATTTCAAGATTCCATGATCCCTTAAAGATAATTTTTTCTTAAAGAAAAAGTAGGATGCATAATTATTTCTAAGACTAGAAATAGGGCCGGGCGCGGTGGCTCATGCCTGTAATCCCAGCACTTTGGGAGGCCGAGGCAGGCGGATCACGAGGTCAGGAGATCGAGATCATCCTGGCTAACATGGTGAAACTCCGTCTCTCTAAAAATACAAAAAATTAGCCGGGTGTGGTGGCAGGCGCCTGTAGTCCCAGCTACTTGGGAGGCTGAGGCAGGAGAATGGTATGAACCCAGGAGGCAGAGTTTGTAGTGAGCCAAGATCGTGCCACTGCACTCCAGCCTGGGCGACAGAGCGAGACTCCGTCTTAAAAAAAAAAAAAAAAAAGACTAGAAATAAAACTTCTGTTCTGTTTCCAACTGCCCTTCCCTTACAACGTGAAAAGGAAATAATACCCAGTGGCTCAGCTAAAAAGTTTCTACCTTCCTCAGCCATAGCAATCTATACACCTCCGGCTGATCCCCATTTCCCTCCAGCCAGAATAGACCACATCATACCTGAGTTGCGCCATCTTCTCCAGGCCCTCCGGACTGATGCGGTCCCTGGAGAGCAGGTTGCTGAGCTGCAGTTCCTGGTTGTCAGCCACCCGGAGAAGCCTGTGCAGCTCCTGTTGCTGCAGGTTCCTCATGTGCTGCTCTACCTCCTCGGGACTCATGGTGCTGGTAGGTAGAGGGCTACACACATACTGTCCTGACGGAGTCGGGTAGCCTGGGTAGTAAGGCCCTGGGTACACACCATTCGTAGGGCCCACTGGGTACTGTAGAGGGTTATAGCCCGTATAGGGATACTGGGAGGCAGGGCCTGGTGTCCGGGGGTAATAATAGGGGTTGTCAGAGTTTTGAAACTTATAGTAAGATGCCTGAGCCTGGCGTGAGTCACCCCAAGATGTAGGGCTGACTTCATCATCAGTGTCCAAGAAATGTAGCTGGGGCGTCTGAGTCTTTAGAGCAGGTTTCTGATCAGGATTGTTTGGGTCCCACAATCGGCGTGTGGTGCCTCCACGGCCCCAACTCCGAGATCCCTTACTACCAGATCCAAACAAAAGCCGAGGTCCCAAAGGCGCGGACTCTGGAGAACCTGCTGAATTGACAGATAGGGTGGTATGGGCAGGCAAAATCAGAATGCCACGACCACGACCCCGAAGTTCTTGTTTCGGGTTTTTGGACTCCTGCTTCTCAGAGCCTTTGCCCCCACTGCTCAAGCCTTTGTCAGGCTTTCCTCTATCCATATCATCCCTGGCTGACCTCACCATGGGAGACTCTTTGTTCATGGCTTCTGCATCGAAAGTGACACGAAGAGTGCCTCGATATTCTTTAGCACTGTTTTTCTGCTCACCCTCCCCACGGCCAGACCAGTTTCTTTCTAAATGTCTCTTCCTTTCTGAACTTCTCCTGGGTCCTAATCCATCAGGCTCATCAATTCTGTCCTCGTCTAAGGAATCGGTTGAGGACACAGACACTTGCTTCTTCAGTCGTGGCCTCTCCTTGGTCCTATCCTGTCGGCGGCGGCGACATCCATTATCCGTCAGGCCAGCTCCCTCAGCGCTGTTGTTGCTGCCAGCTGAGCTGGTGCTGCGCGTGCGGTAGCGATTCCTTCGTTTGTCTGAGCGGGAGTAGCGCTTTGCGGAGCCCGGCCTCCCGCGGGCTGGGTCGTCGTGGGTTTCCCTCACCCCCTCCCCTTTTCCCATCCTCTTTCCTTTTTCTCCTTTTGCAGCCCCTACTCTCCCACCACCTGGGCTCTTTTCTATCTCAGCCCTGTCTGGTTTATTCGCAACTTCCTCCTTCGCAACATTTCCCCTACACTCATCTTCCTCTACTCTCAGTTGTTCTACCTGGTTGAGGACTTCTTCCTCCTCCACCCGACTGGCGGATTCTTTGCTAACAGTCTGCAAACGTCGTCCAGGCTGATAGATCTGCAGGTCGGGTTTCTTTGTTCTTTTGATAATTTTTAGACTACGATCCTCTTGTCCAGCAGTCCTAGGAAAGGATTCTTGTCCCCGATTATTTTCTGGGTCTATAGGACCATTCTGCTCTTGGTTGTTCAGTTCCTTGCAGACATCTTTAACGGGCTGTGTACCATTTTCAACAGCAGAGCAATCTCGGTCATTAACAATTTCATCTTTGAATTCCTCACTCCCAGGGGGTTCCTTGATTTTGGGCTTGTTCCTTAGCCGAGAAAGGCCAGGCTTATAGATTTCCAGATCTGGACGCCTGTTATCTTTGCGCGGCCTGGCCTCCTTTAATTCCTTCATGTTTTCTGTTATGTCGGGGAAAGAGTTTGGGAGGGAAAGGTAGAAGATAAGAATAAAGAAGGAAGATAGGGGAAAGACTGTCATTCTGGTTAAGTAACAAAAAAAGTCGAGCAAGAATTACATATCCAAATGCTAATACTGGTAGGCAAAGAAGGACATTTCTGTAGAAGCAGAAATTCTGGGTTTACAACACTTGTTCAACAATTCACAAGGCTAAGGACCTAACTGTGTTGGGGCTACCTACACTTGGGTAAGTGAAATGGGGGAAACCCATCTCCTTATGTGTCATCCAAGTCATATTCAGAAATCCAAGATCCCAAACTACCTCATTATTGTCAGAACAAAAGACCTCTCTAACCTTTTCAGCACTACACTGTTCTCTATCTATAGAGCCTGTGAATCCACCTCAGCCTTTTCTTCCGCCTCTAACTTTTTCCTGGGTGGCTAAGTTCTTTTAACATAACAGCAGGAGGAAGAAGTAAAAAAGGAGAAAAAGGAGGGAGGGTATTATAACAATTATCAGTCCTGGACATCTCTGGAGAAAAAAAATGCAACTTTAGTCTTTAAACTTGACCAGGATGATTCTCTTCTTCAAGATACCAATTACCAAATAACATACCTGCTGGTGAATTAAACAGCAAGCAGTTCTTTTCCCATTCTTCAACTTCACCCATCCTCACCAACTCACTAACAGTAGCTCACAGAGTTACCAAAATACTGCTCAGACTATCATACTAGAATACTGACACTAACTGCTACTGTGATGATGGAATTATTAGAAAAAAGTTCCATAAGGGAACTTTCCCTGGATGCTGATGGAAAGATTGTGACATACTCTCAAAATGCCAACAACTGGGAACTCAAGAATTAAGAATAATACAGGACTTTAGAAACCACTCTCGGCCGGGCGCGGTGGGTCACGCCTGTAATCCCAGCACTTTGGGAGGCCGTGGTGGGTGGATCACGAGGTCAGGAGATCGAGACCATCCTGGCTAACACGGTGAAACCCCGTCTCAACAAAAAATACAAAAAATTAGCCGGGCGTGGTGGTGGGCGCCTGTAGTCCCAGCTACTCGGGAAGCTGAGGCAGGAGAATAGCGTGAACCCAGGAGGCGGAGCTTGCAGTACGCGGAGATCGCGCCAGTGCACTCCAGCCCAGCGGACAGATACTTACTTAAGTATCTGGTTTTTTAAAAAAGTATCTGTTACCGTTATCAAAAGTAACCACTAAACATTACAATGGAAAAGTGACAGAATTCGGGAGAATATTATCAAGTACACAAATGGAATGCTATATAAAATCCTAGCATAGGCCAGGTGCAGTAGCTCACGCCTATAATCCCAGCACTTTGGGAGGCTGAGGCGGGAGGACTGCTTGAGGCCAGGAGTTCGAGATCAGCCTGGGCAACATGGCAACACCCTGTCTCTATAACGTATACAAAAAATAGCCAGGTGTGGTGGTGCAGGTCTGTAATTCCAGCTACTCGGAAGGCTGAGGTGGGAGGATCACTTGAGCACAGGAGGGGGAGGCTACAGTGAGCTGAGATCCCTCCACTGCACTCCAGCCTGGAAGACAGAGTGAGACCCTGCCTCAAAAAAATTGGCCGGGCACGGTGGCTCACGCCTGTAATCCCAGCACTTTGGGAGGCCAAGGCGGGCGGATCACGAGGACAGGAGTCCAGACCATCCTGGCCAACACGGAGAAACCCCGTCACTACAAAAATACAAAAAATTAGCCAGGCGTGGTGGCACACGCCTACAGTCCAAGCTACTGGGGAGGCTGAGGTAGGAGAATGGCGTGAACCCGGGAGGCGGAGGTTGCAGTGAGCAGAGATCGCGCCACTGCACTCCAGCCTGGGCGACAGAGCTAGACTCCGTCTCAAAAAATAATAATAACAACAATAAAAAAGTTTTTAATCCTAGTATTGCTCTCTAAATATAAATGGAAACAAGCCCAAAACAGGAATCATATGCTCCAGCAAGTACATTTACTGTTTGTAGGTGTAAGGAAAAGGGGAAGAAAAGAGACTGAGGTTTTGGATAGTGCTTCACTATTTTCATAAGTTTAAAAGGTAGGTTCATGAAGTATCCACAAAGATAAAGCAGTTTAACCCAAGAATAGCTCACCCTCGGCAGTCTGTAACTTGGTGGGGGGCGGGGGGATGGGGAAAGCTATTCCTACTACTTTCTAGAGCAGCGGGAGAAAATAGCCTTAATAATCCAATTATGTTAATCAACAAAAACCAATTTCACAGACTGGCCGCAAACCTAGAGAAGGCACCTATCACAGCTACCATTCTACACAACTCTATTGCCTAACGCAGGAGAGGTGAGACACTTAGAATCTTTCTTACTTTCCTGACGTGGCTGGAGACTTGAAATTAACTTGCAAATTGAGCATTCTCTCTAATAAAAACTGCTCCCACACATGCCAGGGCCAAACCCGAGTAGTCTGAGGTCCCGGATCCCTCCAGTGGCGCAGCTTTCGGAAGCCTGTCTTGGGGGGGAAAAGTTCAGCAACGAAGTCGCAGGCTCTTAAACCTTTCTCCCCAATTCCTTCTCTCCGACGTTAAAGCGGTGGCCGGGGCAGGCCCGCGGAGGGCGGCCTGGAGAGCGATACGCCCGGGGCCTCCACCAGACCCCACTCCTTTCCGCGTCTCCCGATGCCTGGGAATCCGGGGCGGGTCTGAGAGGGCTGGGGCAAAAGGAACAGTCACCTTCGCGGCGAGAAAGAGGGTGGAGGCAGGAATTCGGGCCAGGCTCTCCCGGAGCTGGCCAGGACTGGCCGAGCCCGACCCCGCACTAACCCGCGAGAGAGGTAGGGCAGCGAGGGTCCGCCGCGGCCCCAGCGCCTACTGCTGGGGGAAGGGGCGGGGGCTCCGGAGCCGAGGGCCGAGCGGGGAGGAGGCAGAGGAGGAGGAGAGGGAGGCGGGGCGGGCAGGCCCGGCCCAGGAGCTGGGCGGCGCGACTCACCTCTGCTCCCGGCCTGCGGGGCCAGAGTAGCCAGGATCCCGCGCAGCTCCGACGCGGAGATCCGCACACGCTCCAGCCCTTCCGCCATCTTCGCGGCTGCTGCTACAGCCGTAGCGGCTCCGCCACCGCCGCGCGCAGCCAGGAAACCACCACAGACGGGCGGCGCGCGCGCTCGCCCACCTCCCGGCCTTTCCCCGCCCCCTGCCGCCCTCCCTTTCCGAACGACGGTGGCCGCGCTGGGAGGAAAAGCGCCCGCCGCCGGTTCCAGAGGGGCGGGACCGGAGCGAGAGCCTGGGTGGGGCGGGCGGGCGCTGCGCGTGCGCAGAGGTGCGGCCGGGGAGGCGCGCGGAGGCTGGAGCTGGAGGCGCGGCGCCGGTGAGCTGAGGTGAGGCGAGGCCGGGCCGTGCCAGGCCAGGCGGGCGTTTGCGGCGGTGGCTGCCGTTGCTGTTGTCGTGGACACCAAGGACACTGCTAGTCTGGGACTCGGGTTGACAGAGACACCCCTCAGCCTGGGCTCCTCTGGACACCTTAGGCCAGGCTCTCCCGCCACAGGCCCGGCCTAGCGCCGCGGGCCATTACTTGGGACCTTGAAGATCTGCTAAGAGTAGTTGTTACTATTCCCTTTTTTTTTTAGTTGGAGTCTCGCTCTGTTGGAGACTCCCGGGCTGGAGTGCAGTGGCGCGGTCTCGGCTCACTGCAACCTCTGCCTCCTGGATTCAAGCGATTCTCCTGCCTCAGCCTCCCTAGTAGCTGGGATTACAGGTGCACGCCACCAAGCCCGGCTAATTTTTGTATTTTTTGTAGAGACGGGGTTTCACTAGGCTGGTCTCGAACTCCTGACCTCAGGTGATCCACCCGCGTCGGCCTCCCAAAGTGCTGGGATTACAGGCGTGAGCCACCGCGCCCGGCCGCCCCCTGACTTTTAAAAACTAGATACGATATAGTTGGAATCGTGTGGAAGGAAGTACATCAGGAGGCATATAAGTCCATTTGGGACCTGTAATCCCGGCGACTCGGAACGCTGAGACGGGCGGATCGCTTGAACCCGGGAGGCGGAGACTGCAGTGAGCCGAGATCGCGCCACTGCACTCCAGCCCGGGAGTCTCCAACAGAGCGAGACTCCGCCTCAAAAAAAAAAAAAAGTCAATTTGGGAATTTCTGTGTCACTATGGATTCTTGAAAAAAATTACTGCTGTGGATCTCAGGTTGACTTTTTAATTTCCCATCTTTAAAATTGAACTATACCAGAAGGCTGGTACTTGAATCTTTTTTTGGAGAACTGTACAGAGGTGAAGCTCCCTTCCCCAAGGCCTCCTGCCTCCACCTGTTGCCCCTCCACAGCCCCATAGGCTTTTACCCCACACCCATCACAGAATAGTTACCAATTATTCCTTAGTCTGAGCCGAAGGGATTGCCACAACCTCTGACAGAACTCCTTCAGTTCCTTTTACGTGACACTTTGTCACCGGAAGGTTAAGCATAAGAAGAAAGTCAGTAGATGATGGGTGAAAAGATCCAACAGTTCAGAAGAGGAACCATTTGAGTGGTCAGAGCAGAAGACAGCCTTTGCCACCAGATTTGAGAGAAATAGGAAGAAGCGTTAAAAAATAATCTGTTTCATATTGAAATTTGAGAGGCCATTGCATGATTTCTTTTTTCAGCTGGAAAAATAATGGAAAACAAGAAAACTTTCTTAGGACAAATGGCACCACCCATTTAATGCAACAGTGTCAGTGAACTGCAGATTAGATATGCCAAAAGTTAAACCAGTTCAAGAAAATTTACCAGAACTCAGAAGGAAAAGGTAATAGATAAAAACTGAGAGACAAAGATAGGAGACATGGAGAAGGGGTACAAAAAATTAATAATTAAATACGAGTTCCAGAAGGGGATAATACAGCTGACTGCAGAAGAGCAATAATCAAATAGTAGAAGAAAATTTACTACGTTGGTGGAAATTTTTGAATTATCAGATTTAAAGAATTCATGAAATACCAGGTAAAAAGAAATGACAAGAAAGACAACCATATTTAAGTCAGTATCACAATGAAAGCTGCTGAGATTTTTTGTTTTTCGTTTTTTTTGAGACGGAGTTTCACTCTTGTTGCCCAGGCTGGAGTGCAGTGGCACAATCTTGGCTCACTGCAACCTGCCTCCTGGTTTCAAGCAATTCTCTTGCCTCAGCCTCCTGAGTAGCTGGTATTACAGGCGCCCACCACCATGCCCAGCTAATTTTTTGTATTTTTAGTAGAGATGGGGTTTCACCATGTTGACCAGTCTGGTCTCGAACTCCTGACCTCAGGTGATCCACCCGCCTCAACCTCCTAAAGTGCTGGGATTACAGGCGTGAGCCACCGCGCCCAGCCTTGAATTCAGTTTCTAAAAGTAAAAATTGTACAAGTTGGCCGGGCGCGGTGGCTCACGCCTGTAATCCCAGCACTTTGGGAGGCCGAGGTGGGCAGATTGCCTGAGCTCAGGAGTTCCCAACCAGCTTGGGCAAGATGAAACCCCATCTCTACTAAAATACAAAAAAATTAGCTGGGTGTGGTGGCGGGCACCTGTAGTCCCAGCTACTTGGGACGCTCAGGCAGGAGAACTGCTTGAACCTGGGAGGCAGAGGTTGCAGCGAGCCGAGATTGCTCCACTGCACTCCAGCCTGGGCGACAGAGTGAGACTCCGTCAAAAAAAAAAATTGTACAGGTCATATTTACTTAGCACAAAGTAATAAAACTAGAAGTGAATAGCCACAAATGAAGCAAAACATTCTAACCATTTGGAATTTTTTTAAAAACAACAATTTTAGGCCAGGCCCCGTGGCTCATGCCTGTAATCCCAGCACTTTGGGAGGCCAAGGTGGGCAGATCACTTGAGGTCAGGAGTTCGAGACCAGCCTGGCCAACATGGCGAAACCCCGTCTCTACTAAAAATACAAAAACTAGCCGGGCGTGGTGGTGGGTGCCTGTAATCCCAGCTACTTGGGAGACTGAGGCAGGAGAATCACTTGAACCAAGGAGGTAGAGGCTGCAGTGAGCCGAGATCACGCCACTGCACTCCAGCCTGGGTGACAGATAGAGACTCTGTCTCAAAAATAAAACAAAACAAACACTTTCCACCCATGGACACCGCCAAGTCTAAGTCAGAGTCTCCTAAAGAGCTCGTACAGCTGAAGAAGCTCTTCATTGGAGGGCTGAGCTTTGAAACAACCAATGAGAGCCTGAGGAGCCATTCTGAGCAATGGGGAACACTCGCGGACTGTGTGGTAATGAGAGATCCAAACACCAAGCACTCCAGGGGCTTTGGATTTGCCACATATGCCACTGAGGAGGAGGTGGATGCAGCCACGAATGCAAGGCCACACAAGGTGGATGGAAGAGTTGTGGAACCAAAGAGAGCTGTCTCAAGAGAAGATTCTCAAAGACCAGATGCCCACTTAACTATGGAAAAGATATTTGTTGGTGGCATTAACGAAGACACTGAAGAATATCACCTAAGTGATTATTTTGAACAGTATGGAAAAACTGAAGTGATTGAAATCATGACTGACCAAGGCAGTGGCAAGAAAAGGGGCTTTGCCTTTGTAACCTTTGATGATCATGACTCCGTGGATAAGACTGTCATTCAGAAATACCATACTGTGAATGGCCACAACTGTGAAATTAGGAAAGGCCTGTCAAAGCAAGAGATGGTGAGTGCTTCATCCAGCCAAAGAGGTCAAAGTACTTCTGGAAACTTTGGTGGTGGTCGTGGAGGTGGTTTCGGTAGGAATGACAACTTTGGTTGTGAAGGAAATTTCAGTGGTCATGGTGGCTTTGGTGGCAGCTGTGGTGGTGGTGGATATCGTGCAGTGGGGATGGCTATAATGGATTTGGTAATGATGGAAGCAATTTTGGAGGTGGAAGCTACAATGATTTTGGCAATTACAACAATTAGTCTTCAATTTTTGGACCCATGAAGGGAGGAAACTTTGGAGGCAGAAGCTCTGGCCCCTATGGTGGTGCAGGCCAATACTTTACCAAACCACGAAACCAAGGTGGCTATGGCGGTTCCAGTAGCAGCAGTAGCTATGGCAGTGGCGGAAGATTTTAATTAGGCAACAAAGCTTAGCATGAGAGGAGAGCCAGCGAAGTGACAGGGAAGCTACAGGTTACAACAGATTTGTGAACTAAGCCAAGCACAGTGGTGGCAGGGCCTAGCTGCTACAAAGAAGATATGTTTTAGACAAATACTCATGTGTATGGGCAAAAAACTCGAAGACTGTATTTGTGACTAGTTGTATAACAGGTTGTTTTAGTTTCTGTTCTGTGGAAAGTGTAAAGCATTCCAACAAAGGGTTTTAATGTATTTTTTTTTTTTGCACCCAAGCTGTTGATTGCTAAATGTAATAGTCTGATCGTGACACTGAATAAATGTCTTTTTAAAAAAAAAAAACAACAAAAAAACCACCAATTTTAAATAATTCATGGGTCAAAAAAGAAAACAAGACTAAAATCTTGGATTATTTAGAAATTATAATAATGAAAATATTGCATAATGGAATCCATGATATTAAAGCACTTCTCAGAGGAAAAATCCTATAAGTAACCTTATATGCTTTCTTTTTAAAGTGAAAATTAGTAAGCTAAGCATTCAACAAATATAGAAGACAATTAAAGGAAAATGGCAGAGTAAACAATCAGAAATAAGGGAAAAAGAGCTGTACTTTAAATAGATTGAAAAGCTCATTCTTCAGAAATAAAGCAGATACTAATATACACACATTTCTGGCAAAAAATAATTTTTAAAAAAGGGACATCCTCTTGGATGTTTCATAAACAATTCAAACTTAGCTAATCAAATCTGATTTTCCTGTCAAATACTTATTTCTTCTCCTGTTTTAAATCTCAACAAATTGTACCACCATTTAAGTCAAAACCCAGGAGTTACTCTTTTTAAAGAAAAATTTTTGGCTGGGCACGGTGGCTCACACCTGTAATCCCAGTACTTTGGGAGGCCGAGGTGGGTGGATCACAAGGTCAAGAGATCAAGACTATCCTGGCCAATTAGCTGGGCATGGTGGCACGCTCCTGTAATCTCAGCTACTTGGGAGGCTGAGGTAGGAGAATCACTTGAACCCAAGAGGCAGAGGTTGCAGTGAGCCAAGATCGCACCACTGCACTCCAGCCTGGTGACAGAGTGAGACTCCATCTCAAAAAAATAAAAATATTGGCCGGGTGTGGTGGCTCATACCTGTAATCCCAGCACTTTGGGAGGCTGAGGCAGGTGGATCATCTGAGGTCAGGAGTTCGAGACCAGCCTGACCAACATGGTGAAACCCTGTCCCTACTAAATACAAAACATTAGCCAGGTGTGGTGCTACATGCCTGTAATCCCAGCTACTTGGGAGGCTGAGGCAGGAGAATCGCTTGAATCCGGGAGGCGGAGGTTGCAGTGAGCTGAGATTGCCCCATTGCACTCCAGCCTGGGCAACAAGAGCGAAACTCCATCTCAAAATAATAATAATAATAATAATTTGTAGAGGCAGGGTTTCCCTGTGTTGCCCAGGCTGGTCTCAAACTCCTTGCCTCTGGCAATCTTCCCACCTTGGCCTTCCAAAGTGTTGGGATTACAGGTGTGAGCCACCAGGCCTGGCCCAGGATTTATTCTTCACACTTCTCTCCCCC